>NC_000004.12:84830471-84981987 GCF_000001405.40 Homo sapiens
GGTTAAGTGTATTAAATGCGTTTTCGACTTACACTATTTTCAAATTATGATGGGTTTATTGGGACATAACCCCACCATAAATTGAGGAGCATCTGTGTATATACCAAATAAGTAGATTGCTTGAGATGCTAAGGCAATTGTCTCCTATACAGACATTTTAAAAGATAGCTGAATATTACATATACTTTAAACCAACAGTGTCTTCTTACTGCTGATAAAGAATCCACCTAATTCCATCTATGCTGCATGACAGATTATTACCTAGTAACTTATGCAATATCTTCAGAAAGACTGGTTACAGGATATCAAAAAAACTTCTTTTTTATTCAGTAAAAGAAGAGAGAAGAATAGGCTGTGACACAGAACTTTCATTACATTATGATTGAATTTACACAACAATGAAATTTTTTTTAACTTTTAGAAATATCCATTGTTGGCCAGGCGCAGTGGCTGACGCCTGTAATCCCAGCACTTTGGGAGGCTGAGGAGGGTGGATCACAAGGTCAGGAGTTCAAGACCAGCCTGGCCAAGATGGTGAAACCCTGTCTCTACTAAAAATACAAAAATCAGCCAGGTATGGTGGTGTGCACCTGTAATCCCAGCTACTCAGGAGGCTAGGGCAGAGAACTGCTTGAACCCGGGAGGATGGAGGTTGCAGTGAGCCAAGATCGCGCCACTGCACTCCAGCCTGGGCGACAGAGTGAGACTCCATCCAAAAAAAAAAAAAAAAAGAAATATCTATTGTTCAGAACTTATGAGGAGAATGTTTTACATTTGAAATGCCCCACAGATGAAAAAAAATATTTTCTTTTCTCTGGGCAAATTTATTTTTTATTTTAAAGAACAAGCTTTAGAATACTGAAAGATAAAAATAAATCTATTATTAAATGAAGAAAAGTGGAAGAAATTTAGAACACTTAAATATATAAAGAGATATTCACCATGAATATACTTCACTACATTGACACTAAGACCATGACGAGATATGGTCATGAGGACTTCTCCAGCACTCTTTCTCCAAGGCAGGTTATAGGGAGGGCACCAAGAGGTTATTGCACTGAATAGAAGCTGGAGATCATCTTTCTGAGCCAGCTCCTCCGCAGGGGAAACAAAACTGCACAGTTTCACTAAGATCTAAAAAATAAAACAAAACAAAACAAGAGTGTATAAGCAAAAATCAAATAATCTGATTTAAAAATGGGCAAATGAGCTGAATGGACTGCTCTCAAAAGAAGACATAGAAATGGCCAACAGGTATATGAAAAAATGCTCAACATCACTAATCATCAGGGAAATGAAAATTAAAACCACAATAAAGTATCACCTCAAGCCAGTTAGAATGGCTATTATCAAAGATAAAAAAGAACAGATGCTGGTAAGGAAGTAGAGAAAGGGGAACTCCTATATACTGTTGGTGAGAATGTAAATTAGTACAGCCATTATGAAAAACAGTATGGAGGATCCTCAGAAAAGTAAAAATACAACTACCATATGATCTAGCAATCCCCCTACTGAGGGTATATATCCAAAGGAAATGAAATTCGTATGTCAAAGAGATAGCTGCACTGCCATGTTTACTGCAGCACTATTCCCAATAGCCAAAATTTAGAATCAACCTAAGTATCCAACAGATGAATGGATAAAGAAAACATGGAATATATATACAATCTAATACTATTCAGCCATAAAAAAGAATGAAATTTTGTCATTAAAGGCAACATGGATAAGCTTGGAGGACATTATGTTAAGGAAAATAATCCAGGCACAGAAAGATGAATATTGAATGCTTTCATTCATATGTAGAAGTTTAAAAAGTTGATCTCATGAAAGTAAAGAGTAGAGTTTTGGTTACCAAGGGTGGATAAGGGAAGGCGAGTGGGGCAAGCTAAAGGCTGGTTAAGGGATACTGAAGTATAGTTGGGAGTAAGTTCTAGTGTTCTATAGCACTATAGAGTGAATATTATTAAAAAAACAATGTATTGTATATTTTTAAATAGGTAGAAGAATGAATTTTAAATGTTCCCAATGCAAAGAAATAATAAATGTTTGAGGTGATGGATATATATACGCTAGTTACCCTTGATTCGATCATTACACATTGTATACACAAAAATTATTACACTGTGACCTATAAATATATGCAATTATTATTTGTCAATTAAAATTAATAATGAAAGTTTAAAAACCGTAAGAGTGTATGTAAGTAAATAAATGGCTGATTATGTTATGACAGTAAACTAGTCCTACTTATATCACCTGATTTTTTAAAAAACATTTACTATCCTCTCTTCACCCTAATATTTTTGCATACCGTGGCTTGAAACAAGATAAAATAGCATTGCTTTTCCAAGTCAACATTTTATTTTTCTAACTTAGTTCTTTAATTTTTAGTTTGCCACTGGCGAAATGTAATTTTCTTCTCTAAAAAGGACAGTTTTAGAAAAAAAAGGAAGTAAAAATAGATCTTTAAAAGCAAAGATATTTTGAAATTTTTTCAATTTTCTATACAAGTAATAGAGGATATTAGAGTATAAATAATCTTCATTTCAGAGTATTTTAAATCTAGTTGCCAAAAACCTAAAGTCTGGCTTTCAAAGAAGACTCAAGACTTCTTAAGTACTGGAATGAGAACTTATTCTTTAACTGTGATTTGCAGAATACATACTACACAAGAGCACACACCATTAAGAGCCTGCCACTTGGGAATTCAGCAATGGTTTCTGCCCTCAATGGGCTCTTTCTTCTAATACCAGTTCAGGTTAGGAAAAGTTAACTTTTCTTCTCTTTGCTAAATTTTCTCATCTAAGTATTTTTTAAAATATATAGTATGAATGAAATAACTATAACTCATGACATCATTTTATTCTCTTGAAAAAGAGCGCTTCATGAAATTTTGGTATTTCAGCATCAGTGGAAAATAGCAGCCAGGTGTGGTGGCTCATGCCTGTAATCCTAGCACTTTGGGAGGCCCAAGGTAGGCAGATTACTTGAGTCCAGGAGTTTGAGACCAGCCTGGGCAACATGGTAAAACTCCATCTCTACAAAAAATTAGCTAGGCATGGTGGCAAGTTACTCAGGAGGCTGAAATGAGAGGATCACCTGAGCCCGGGAGGTCGAGGCTGCAGTGAGCTGTGATCATGCCACTGCACTTCAGTCTAGATGACAGAGTGAGACCTTGTCTCAAAAGAGAAAAAGAAAAGAAAAGAAAAGAAAAGAAAAGAGAAGAGAAGAGAAGAGAACAGAACAGAAGAGAACAGAAGAGAACAGAAGAGAAGCGAAGCTCAATAGAGAGAGGTAGCTGAAATATCACATTTTATCTGAGAAAACTAGGCCTTCCTTTTCCTATTTCCCTCAAATGCAAAAACTTGCTTAGATATAAAAGCTTTCTAATTCATAGCTGCCAAGTATCAGAAAGGAAAAAAAGGTTTAAGAATTCATAAAAACAATAAAATATTTATAAAATCAGTAAATATGGTACCCTTCCCACCAAATGCCTGGAGAAACTGCTGGATACCAAATGTCCATTAATATGTGTAATATGTCATCATCTTTTACCATATGTGAATACAGACAGTTAAATGCAACAAAAAAGTGTATTCTCAGAGGGGTGTATTAGTGATTATAGTTGTTGTTGGTTCTGACACTGCCTTATGTGATTAGCGAGACAAATGCCAGTTTTCCAATTTGGTACATAGAAAACAAACCCACAAATAATAAAATACTTTTTTACAAATCAAATCACTGTTCTCAAACTGGATGCAAGGATTTCTTGAATTTGTTGACTTATAAGATAACTGGTTCATCTTTATAGGCAGAAGGATTCTTACAAATAATCTAGTACGATCCTTTCATTTTTACAGAACAGAAAACTGTAAAGTCAATTTCTCATTCCTGGCTGGGTGTGGTGGCTCACGCCTGTAATCCCAGCACTTTGGGAGGCTGAGGCGGGAGGATCACTTGAGCCCAGGAGTTCGAGACCAACCTGGCCAACATGGTGAAACCTCATCTCTACTAAAAACAAAAAAAAAAAACTAGCCAGGCATGGTGGCACAGCTTGTAATCCCAGCTACTTGGGTGGCTGAGGCACAAAAATCGCTTGAACCCAAGAGGCAGAGGTTGCAGTGAGCCAAGATCGCACCACCGCACTCCGGCCTGGGAGACAGACCAAAATTCTCTCCAAAAAAAATTTCTCATTCCTCTTCTGCCTCTACTAACCACTTATATTTGTAAGAACTCTGTTACAAAAGTCCAACCAAGTGTGGCAGAGCAATAACTGGCCACATCAACAACAACAAAAAAACTGAATGCCTGCATGAAGCATTACCAAATGCTAAAGTCCCAGGAAACCGTCTGTCACATAATACAAACGTAGGGATTGCATCTATTTTAAAACATTTAATAAGTTCGTGTCAATTGGTTTCCTAGACACAATGATGAAAACATTAGCCTGCGATGAGGAACTAAAACAAAGAAAGTGATACACTAAAAGCAGCAGTGAACTAGGAGTTGGGAGAGCTAGGTTTTTATCACTGTCACTTGCCTACTATGGATCATAAACCGGAATATTAGTTTCCACAACTGTAAATGAGGAGTTTGATTTAAATTATGTTTTGAGTCCCTTTTGGCCTTAATATTCAATGACTTCAGTATGCTAAAGTGACTCCCACATGATCGAAAGTCAGCACCTGGTTTTCAAATAGAAATAATTTTTTAAAAAACTTTGCTATGCTTATGTAGGTATTAAAAGTATAAAATGCAGATTCCATTTATTACCTAAGGCATTAGTTCTTTAAAAGGGGTTTATTGAAATGAGGCTGCTATTCTAATCAGCAAAGATTAACCCACCACATTCATCGGCAATATCTTCAAGCAGCTATAATTCCTATGCGATTTACTCCTTCATTTATTCCCATTGCTTTTCTTAGCCAATCTAATTCAGGAATCAGATAGATCTGAGTTCTAATCCTATTCCTGCCATTTGCTTACATAATCATTTTGGGGAAAAACAAAAGCTCTGAAGTCGTGGGGTTATCTTGCAAATTGAGATGTGAGATGAGAAATGTTAACCACAAGCACAAAAGTGTCTAACAGATCAAGTGTTCAATAAACATACTGATTTAGTATTTTACTTGATAATCCCATTCATTTACTTTCTAAAACTGTCTTGGTCTCACTCTCTCCTGTCCTTTCATCACTAGCAGCTCTACCAAACAGAGTCATCCTTACAGTAAAGAGCCCAGTGACATGAGGTGAGCCTGCAACCATTACTCTATACAGCTCTATCTTTTCTACCCCAATCCACTGTTCTCTCTATTCGCTTCCTACTCTCAGTAGTGGTGATGGTGGCAGTGGCAGTAATCACAGTTACTTCTCCTTCCTATCTACTATGTGCTAAGCTGAAAATCGTACCTTTACATATTATGTCATTTAAGCCTCAAAAAACCTTTTAGGTAGATATCATTTTCATTTTACAGGTGCGAAATCTGCATCTTAGATGACTTTGCTTTAGAGAACTAGATCTAAACATGTTGTTTTTAACTGTTGATTGGGTTAAAAAAACATGTAACATTTACCATCTTAACTGTTTTAAGAGTGTGGTACAGTAGTGTTAACTATATGTACACTGCTGTGCAACAGAACTTCATCTTGCAAAACTGAAACTCTACTCCTATAGAAAAATAATTCCCTTTTCTTCTTTCCCTTAGTTCCTAGCCACCAGTATTCTACTTTCTGTTCCACCTGTATGACTACTTTAGATATATCATATAAGTGGAATCACGCAGTATTTGTCTTTTTGTGTCAAATGTTGTTTTTTTAATACTGTATTAGACCAATGGACAGATTATATTCTATATGTTTGTTTGCTTGTTTTGACAATTTTCTGCCAAGAAAGGATATCATACATGATGACTATATTCCTGGGCTAGCTAATAAAGGTCTATCACACATTTGTTAACCCACAATGCTATTAAAAGAACAGTGCTAACAGTGGGAAAGAAGAGCCTTACAGGCAGGGCAGAGGAGGAGGCAGCCACCACCAAAGTAAACTGTCTTTACAAGTGAAATATTTATAAGCTGGGGACTTCCTGTATATAAACAGCAACTAGATAGAATTTTGAGACATTATAAGAAATATTATCCAAATCTTTATATCATTTTCAAGTTTTCCTTGCTTAGTTCATTTTACAGACATTCTGATATATCAAAAGTAATCTCAATGGCTGGATCTGTTCAGAGAAACAAACTTGCTAATGCCTCACTCAAATATTCCTGAAAAGAATATTTCAATATTATTTCTGCAGATTCAAAAAATGTGACAATTATATGAGATAAAGTCATACTATCATAAATAAAATGAAATATGAGTTAAAAAATGGAATATGTAAAACATCTATTTAGGAAGTATACCCACTTCCCTTTAAATAGGGTGGAGGTAGGCAAATAGCACCTTTCATACCTGTACAAAAACTTTCTGGAGTAGTCCTCGACGTTCTGCTAGAGGTAGCTCATTCTGTGCACCTCCAACTGCCTCAGGCACATGTGGAAGGTCAAAAAACAGATATAAACATTTAACCAGGGTGGAAGGCACTGACATTGTTGTCATGCAGTCCACGGTTTTCTGGAAAACAAGCCAATAAATAAGTGAATAGATAGACACAACTATAATTGGTACAGCCAAATAATTCACAAATGTTAACCCAAAAATTATATATAAAGGTAACTTTTTAAAATGCATGTAAGAATTTAAAAATGACTCCAAGTGAAGAAATATACAACTATGCATCTGAACAATTTTGCTTTAATCAAATAGTGAGATTTTGTTATATAGTAAATTATCAATTAAATTTAATATTTATTTATTAAAAAGCAGCATGTTTCGGAAGCATAAGCTTTAGAATTTAGAAAAAGACACTTAATAACTACGAACTTCAGCAAACTACTTAATTCTCCTGAGATTCACTTGCCTTTCTTATAAAAATAGATAGAATGATACACCCTTCTCATGGCTAACATGAGAGTTATGTAAGATAATACATACAAAGAAACATTAAGCACTAAATTGTATATTCATTGCTGCTTTACTATTATTTTTATCTTTATTCTTATTGTAGATTTTTGAGGCTGGAAAGACACTTGAGTGATAAAGCCATCACTGACACAAATACATCTCTATATTATTTTCAAAGATATCCAGAGGAGAAACTCTAGACCTTCTTACAGTACATATTTCAACATTGTTAAGTATGATATAATATTTATCAAAATTTTCCATGGTGCAGTTTGGAACAAGAAGTTCAACTGCACTAGAGATCAACAGACTGGTATAATCTGTTGATTAGTTAGTTTACTTTCTCAGAAAACATTTATTGAGTGTCCAGGGAATGTCAGGCTGTGTGCTGGGAGCTGGGCATGCAAAGACGAAGCATCTCTGTCCTTCAAAAGACCACAGTCGACTGGAATTATTAGAGTCCTAAGTAACTATGACTTAATCTCTTAAGACTTCAGTCTAACAATGGTAGTATATACAGGCTAATATAAAAGGGATTGACTAACACTGCCAGGAATGGCATTAAAAAGGATAAGGAATTAAAATAAAAAGGGAAAGATCACCTGGAAGATACATAGGAGGTTAGGCCATATGGTACAGTATTTTTGAAGAAACACAGATTCCAAAAATGCTGACTCCTGACGAGCCACAATAATAATGGCTAACCTTGAATTACTGTTTACTATATAAGAGGCATAAGGCTAATAAGCACTTTACATACATCATCTCACCTATTCCTTAAGTCAACCCCATGACTTCATTTGTAAAATGATCCTTATTTCACAAATGAAGCAACTGAGGTTCATCACTTACATACCCTGCTTTAGGTCAGACAGCTGGCTAAGTGGCCTACAAAGTGTGTATGCTCAATGACTTATGAAAATAGTCTCACATTTTATTTTCTTGGCAGTGATGACCCAGTGAAGTGTTACAAACAAAAAGTAAAAGAGCTAGATTTCAGAAAATTAGCTGGTGGTAATACAGATCATAAATTAAATATACAGAGCCAGAAGGAAAGGGTAATTGGGAAACTAACCCCCCAAACCACATGAGAGATGGGGCCGGAACTAATGCAATAGTAGGGTGATGAAGAGAAAGCTTCAAGACTATCCCTGGCAAGATGTGGCCCCTTTCTACATACCCAACATACCATTTCTTGTCTCAAATACTCTAAACCTTTTGTTCTATTCATCTACGATTATTTCTTAACACTTATGTTACCATACATTTAATGTTCAGTTTAAACATCTGCTATGTCTCAAAGTTTACTGAACTCCTCATCTTTCCTTCTACCCTCACTTTCAAAATGTTTAACTCTCACATTTCTATTTTCAATAGCACTATATATGCCCCATTATTAAATATTATGGTACTATCTTTTTCTGCTTCATCTCTTACATCTACACATTGAGTCAGGACCATGTTTTGGTCATCTCTGTGTAACACTGCTACCAGCAGAAAATGGCACTCAAACAAGGTAGCTCCAAACATAACACTGAATTTGCTTTTTAAATGTATCTATTTCCAGATAGATTATTACTAGGTTTAGCTGGCCACTAAGCAAAGTGGTATGATGTTTCATTTTCATTTATTGTAGATAGATTTAAAGTATAACTTGGCATCTAAACTTGTAATTTTTTAAGTGATTAGGTTTTTATAGAAAATATGAATAAATGTAGAAAACTGTATTAAAAGTTAATATTACTTATATTAAATATCAATAGTAAATATCTAAATTATATAAAGTTTTAATAGCAAATAAACATATGCTATTCTAAACCAAATTTTGGTATAGTAACATACATACATTTACAGCTACCATCAACAGCAAACAGAACTGAGATTTTGTTACTCATCCAGTAGAGTCAGATACATGAAAACAATGGTCTACTCTGGGACCATTTGAAGATTACTTACAATAACCAACCCTCTCCATTTGCCTGAGACTGTGCAGTATCCTGAGATGCAGGCCTTCCTATCCTAAAACCTGGAAAATCCCAGGAACACCAGGACAGGTTGGTTACACTAATTCCCTGAGTTAAAAAAAAAAAAAGAGGGCCAGGCACAGTGGCTCACGCCTGTAATCCCAGCACTTTGGGAGGCCAAGGCAGGTGGATCACCTGAGGTCAGGAGTTCGGGACCAGCCTGGCCAACATGGTGAAACCCCGTCTCTACCAAAAATACAAAAATTAGCTGGGTGTGGTGGCGCGCGCCTGTAATCCCAGCTACTCGGGAGGCTGAGGCAAGAGAATCGCTTGAATCTGGGAGGCGGAGGTTGCAGTGAGCCGAGGCCGCACCATTGCACTCCACTCCAGGCTGGGTGACAGAGCAAGAGTCCACCTCAAAAAAAGAAAGAAAAAAAAAAGAGAGAAAAAACACAGCAAACAAATAAAAAGAAAACAGATCATTCCGAGGACAAAATTCTAAGAGATAATTACTTTGGGTTACTGACAGGTTTCAGGATATGGTTACCAAGACGTATGCACTGTATCTGCTGTGGCCAGTCACATGGTACAATTATGTTACAGTTAAGTAGGTCCATTATTACATGATGAGAGTGTTTGAAAGTCCACTGTAACTTAGACAACAGACATTCCCAAGATTGGTACTGACTTTGGTAGGTAATTATACTCTGGATTTTAGAAGGCTGAATTAACCTCTTTCATCCCCAAAACATGAAAGGCCAAAAATCAGGTATCCAAATAGCTCATTAATGAGCACATGCAACATATTTCATGACAGATAATTACAGCTGATTTGGAGGAAATAAAAAGCAATCTCCAGAATAAATCAAATGAGAAGAAAATATATATTATCCTAAAAATGTCAATGTTTCCTTATTTCCCATTAAAATTTAAAACTATTTTCCATGTCATTTGTTCTTTATAAGCTGAGTAACCTTAGATAAAGAGTGATTTTTTTATTTTTCCTGAGCCAGAGTTTCCCTAACATCAGTGACAAAAGTGCTGGCCTGGGCCTGATGGACCCAGAGCTCCTGAGCTACTTGCCACCAGCCAGAAATAGTCCATCTGTTTGCCCAGAATGCTCTACAAATGGTATCATTAAAATAATTTTTTTTTAGAGACAGGGTCTCACTCTGTCACCGAGGCTGGAGTGGTGTCATTATGGCTCACTGCAGCCTCAACCTCCCAGGCTCAAGCAATCCTCTTGCCTCAGCCTCTGAACAGCTGGGACTTCAGGTGCAGGCCACCACGCTCAGCTAATTTTTTTTTTTTTTTTTAAAGAGATTGGGGTCTCTCTATGTTGCCCAGACTGGTCTCGAATTTCCGGGCTCAAGCAATCTTCCCACCTTGACCTCTCAAAGTGCTGCAATTACAGGTGTGAGCCTCTGAGCCCAGCCACAAATGGTTATGTCCTATGTGTGTTACAACATATCGAGATGGAAAACACTGCTCTAAGCCATGCGTTTCCTTATGAGTAAAATGCATCGAACATCAAACTCCTTGCAGAGATGTTATGAGAAGCATGAAATAATGTTTTAAAAAAGTTAGAAGAATACAAATGATTATCATAGTATCTCATTTGGATATAATGATGAATTTAATAATAAAATCACAAGAGAGGCTATAAAATAAAGACGCTGAGTTATCAAACATGAAAACTAAGAACTTACCTGACCAGAGGAAGCTAACAAATTAATTGTCGTTAGAAGCATCCAGCCTCTACTGGCTTCTTCACTCTGATTAATCTCTAGGAACTGAACTATGGCCCGACTTGCAGCCTCTATAAAACCAAAGGGAAAGCCATTAAGTGGGGGAAAAGTCACATATAAAGAGGTTCTTCTTTAAAACCTACCAAGGAAATGAAAATTTACTAAGCACATAATTATATCAGCACTATTACATATAGAAAAACTTTAAAAATAGCAATGTTTTAATGGTATTCATAAACCTTTATATCATTAATACAGAAATGTAAAAGCCAACCTATATATTTCAGGAAAAGTTATGACAGGAGCTAATCAAAAAGTCATGAAAGAGGTGAAATTTGAGCTAAAACTACCTGGAAAACAAGTACATGTTTGTCCAGGAAGTAGGAGTGATTAAGGGTGCAGAGAAAATAAGAGCACAGCAATAAAACAAGAGTGGCTAGAGGAATGAGCCTGACACATACAGATCAAGACAAAGAACTGTGATAACACTTTCTTAACATTATAGAAGAGCACTGTTTAGAAGTGCAGTCTAATACCAACAGTAGTGATTTAAAAAATAGAGATGCCTAATTACGAAGGAGGGTAAGCTACTGGCTGTATTTGATTTTCTGGGCAAGAGGGAGCAAATGCAGTTTCTTGAGCAAAGGAGATGATGAAAGGATTATACTAAGACTATTAATCTAGTAGTAATGTGTATGACAGACTGGAAGGCTAAGGAGAATGGTGAGAGGGAAATAAGAGGTTTCCTAAGTAATACACAGAGGAATAACTTGAGTAGCTCAGAGTAGGAAGAGAGAAACGTGAAATACATAAGACAGCCAATCACAGAACTGCAGACTTGGAAGAATCTTCAAAAGTAAATTTAGTTGATTATATTTCTTATTAGAGAGAAGAGTAAATGGAGAAGTCTCTAAATCTGTATCTAATTTCATCAGCATGGCTTGCCAATTTTTACAGTAACATATGATAGGAGTTAAAATTGTCAGAAAAGAAGTCCAATTTGGCAGGGCATGGTGGCTCACACCTGTAATCCCAGCACTTTGGGAGGCCAAGGCGGGCAGATCACCTGAGGTCAGGAGTTCGAGACCAGCCTGGCCAACATGGAGAAACCCCATCTCTACTAAAAATACAAAAATCAGGCAGGTGTGGTGTCATGAGCCTGTAATCCCAGCTACTTGGGAGGCTGAGGCAGGAGAATCACTTGTACCCAGGAGGTGGAGGTTGCTGTGAGCCAAGATCACGCCACTGCACTCCAGCCTGGGCAACAGAGTGAGACTCTGTCTCAAAAAAAAAAAAAGAAGTAAGTCTAATTTGTTCACTAGGAACTAACTGGGTAAAAACTAACATATACTTGGTGGCTCACGCCACCAAGGTCAGGAGATCGAGGCCATCTTGGCCACTAACACAGTGAAACCCCATCTCTACTAAAAATACAAAAAATTAGCCGAGTGTGGTGGTGGGCACCTGTAGTCCCAGCTACTTGGGAGACTGAGGCAGGAGAATTACTTGAACCCAGAGGCGGAGGGTGCAGTGAGCGGAGATCACACCACTGCACTCCAGCCTAGGCAACAGAGCGAGACTCCGTCTCAAAAACAAAACAAAACAAAAAACTAATGTATACTTAACACACTTCATAAAGAAGTAGAAAGTAGAAAATAAGATTTAGGTTATCTTAGATGTATTTTTTCTTCAACTTAACATAAAATAAAAGTGTTTTATTAGATAACTGAATACAAGACTTACACATGATTCTGGGCTGGGCAAAGTTTCATCTTTGTAAACTTCCATTTGAGGGAACATTTTAGCACGAAAATTTTAAAAACAGATTCTTTTTATTGAGTCTTAACTATATATCAAGCATTGTGTTAAGTACTTGTGGGTTTAACTCATTTAACCTTTACAAGAACCCTGTGAGTTATTTTCTACTAATATATTCCTTACAATAGTATAAGTTGAGAAATGCAGAAGATAAGTAATTTGCCTACAATCACATAGCTAGTCAGTGAAAGAGATCTGGATAGGGCTGAGGTTGAATGATACAGGGAGATTCCAAACTCCATCGACAAAACAAACTATCTTTACATAACAAATATATTTTACTATTTTGTAAAGAATAGCATAACTGTATCACTGTAAAAAAATAACTTTTATTTTCACCTACCAATTTCAATATGTGTCATTAAGAATATTTCAAAGGCATCTCCCACTTTTTATTTTATTATTTTTGAGACAAGGTCTCACTCTATTGTCCAGGCTGGAGTGCACGATCACGGCTTACTGCAGCCTCAATCTCCTCAACTCAAGCAATCCCTCCGCCTCAGTCCCCCATGTAGCTGGGACTAACAGTATGCACCACCATGCCTGGCTAATAAAAACAAAATTTTTTTGTAGAGACAGAGTATCGCTGTGTTGCCCAGGCTGGTCTCAAACTCCTGAATTCAAGTGATCCTCCTGTCTTGGTTTCCCAAACTACTGGGATTACTTGTACCTGGGTGTGAGCTACTGTGCCCAGCCTCACGTTTTATTTTAAATGAGGTAAGCAGCTCATTTTAAAAGTATATAGCATTTAGTGCTATCTTAAAAAATTATGTATACTAGCAAGGAATTTTAAATAAAACCTCCATAAATCAAATGGTTTCTTAAAACTTTGGGTAAAAAATGCCCACTACTAGTCAGAAACATACTGGGTCTTTTAATTTCAATAATATTTAACAAATTCAAATATAAACGATTTAACTTAAGTTTTTAAGAGTTAATGAAAGAATATATTAATATTAACCTATCTTTAGAGTTGTCAATCATTTGATTCAAGCTTTATCTTTCACACTGCATTTCAATACATATAGTTAGAATGAAAAACCCAGAAATGAAGTTAATAAAGCCCAGGATTTCATTAAATAAGTAAAGAATGCGGACAATCTTAAATGCAATTTCTCAGCCTACACTGAGAGTAAACAAACGAATTCAATTAGCATTCAGAACAACCAGAATGCAAAACATGTTAATAAGTGAAATACAAGTTTTCCTTTGCAAAGTCCATTTAAAGCGTATTCCATTTTCAAATTTATGCTTCACAATGATGGTGAGTCACATTAATGGTATTATTATACTTATTTAATTAATGAAGACACGAAGCCCTAAACACCCTTGCCCCCTCCAAAAAAAAATTCCACAAGTTAGTCAGAAAAACAATATTAGAACTCACAGCTTCCATGCTTCTTTTCATTTGACAATATATAACCACATCTTGGGAATGAAATTACCTGAAGGTGTTGTGGCTTTGAAATCCTTGGGGGACAGCAGGGCACACTGTTTTTCTGTTTAAAAAAAAAGGCTGGGTTGTCTAAGTAGGGATTCACTAAATTCCACTAATCCCACCACAAGAGTACTGGGGTCAACATCATCCAGTCTCTCCATTGCTGGATTGCTGCCCATATTGGGGATTGCACTACTAGGTTTAACAGTGGCACCTAGCATGTAGAAAAACATTAATAATAAACTAAAGATACTACTTTATGCAGGTAGGAATTTTCTGCTTTGCTGATATAAATTGACCATGTGCCCTTAAACTTAAGCAGAATTAGAACTGGCTGAGCTAACTAGAAGAGATGGGGGAAAATCTTAAGATACACCCTCTATACAATCTGGCCACAACATTATGTTTTTGTCAAATTAACTGAGTCACTACTTACTTCCAGCAAAAGCCACATGGAGGCAAAGGACCAAGAAAGAATTAAGGGAGACAAGGAGACTGTGACTTGACCTAAACGTATAACAAATCATCCATGTATCCATTTTGCAACTTGATATTCCCTAAAAGGTTTCCATTTTCACAAACTTCAGATAGATGTAAACAACAGAACTGCACATAAGCTTGTTTCCTACTGAGATATCTACAGCCCATATCTCAAGTAATCTGATAAAAAAAAGGCTGTGTCTGTGGGTGCTGATTAGGTAACACCCAAAATAACAAGTCTTCCATAGCAAATTCAGAGGGGTACTGGAAGAATAATCTTGTTCTGGTGAACAACGAACACAGCCAACCTTCAAAGGAATAATAAAAGGTTCACTTCACCTGTTTTTTTGTAGAAAAAGTGTGTGAATGTAAATTAAGACAAAATTCTTTTCAATGATAACCTCCTATAAAATAAAAGGTTATATGAGCTATCTAAAGTAGTCCAACTTACAGAAGAAGAAAGCAGAATGGTGGTTGGTGGCCAGGGGCTGAGGAGAGGGGGAAATGAGGAGTTGCTGTTCAATGGGTATAGTTTCAGTCATGTAAGACACAAAAAGCTCTAGAGATCTGCTGTACAGCATGGTATGTATAGTTAACAGTCTGTACTGCACACTTAAAAATTGGTTAAGAGGGTAGATCCCATATTAAGTGCTTTTTTTAAGCACAATAAAAATAAATAAAAAATAAAGATGAAATATTAAGAGTTGGATGATTTAGGATATACTTAGGCCCTGAAAAATCTAGAACTTTTTACTAGAAAAATCAATAGGTCACAAAGTCTCCATGAATGTATTTTTGATAACAACACTGACCAAAAGAATCTTCCAATGTTCTAAACTAAAAATGAAAGAAAAAAAACAAGGATTCCCATAGCCAGGGTAAGGCTAACTGAGGAGACACTCCAGAATTATGTTCTTCTCTCCTAAAAATCAGGAAGGGTGGCCCTTCTAACTCTACTCCAATTCTCAAAGCATTTAAAAAAAAAAAAGGCAGAGAAATCCTATGTCCAAAATCAGTAAAAATTTAGGTGCTATTAATACACGGGTGAACACAACAGACAATAAAATTAAATAAGTAAATAAAATACTTTCAGATGATAACAAAGCTATGAAGGTTAACATACAATGTGACTGAATAGATACTAAAGGGTGTGGGGACACAGGATAGAAGACCTATTTGAGATACGGTACTTAGGAAAGATCTTTCATGAGGAAGTAACACACAAAATAAATTGAATATCATAGGATTCAAAGGTTAATGAATTTCACAAGCTTAAAACTAAAAATTATGTGAAATTACACAATATGAAAAAAATGTATCTTAAAAAATCCCTAGTTAATAAGATGTCATCAATGAGGAAAAGTGGATGAAGGGCACATGATCCTAGCTACTATTTTTGAAATTTCCTAAGAGTCTACGATTATTTTAAACTTAAAAGTTAAAAAAAATACTTGTGTAATTCTTACTGTAATTAACAATGAGACATCTTCTACTTGATTTAAGACATCTTTCATTACATCTAAAAAATTGCCCTGTGGATGTAAAATCATAAAGGGAGTTAGGAAAACAAATCTCCACTGTAGCAAAATATCTTTCTACAAACATGCAGATTAGGTATTTAAAAATATAGTAACAGAGGCAAGTATAAATAAGTTTTAGGAATTTTTTCCTAATCTAGTATGTCATTCAAGAAAGAATGGGGATACCTAATTTCATCAGCGTGGGTATTTCCTCACAGTACTGTGAAAATGGATGAATACATCCATTAAAATGCTTGTAAACGTATTTTTAAAAGGTATAAACTTTTAAGAACAAGAACAGAATAAGTGAAAGCAATGAAATTTTGGATATTAAAATAGCAGAGAGATTCACGGTTACTGATTAGCAAACCCTAGAATCTTGAAGTAATTCAGGAAAAGTGGAAAAGCAACCAAACTACCAAAGAACCCCTGAGAGGCTCAGGAATTGGTGGCACAATGCACCTTTGGAAGCAGAAGTAAATAAGCAACTACACAGAGAAGGACTGGTGGAAAATATGTTCAAGAGCAGTTAGACCCAAGGTCCCTACTACTATGTGGGCCCTAGACCAGAGGTTTGTTTGTTCACTGAAAAGAGTAAGAGAGGGAGTACGCATTGAGGGGCACAAGGCACCATGTGGACATACAAAGGTAAAATAAAAGCTTATATACTAAAGCTTGAGGTCTCCAAACCTTTCCCCTACTTTGCTTCCAAAGTGCTGAGTCAGGCATATATCTTCCAAGCAGAGACTGGACAATTCTCTGAGCACCTGCTTAGTTTAGGAAAAAGATCACCAAAAAAACAGCCTAGCAAGATCATCTTATGTTGCAGCCCACAGCTGCAAGCTTCACACACAATTAAAAAGCTTTTTAATGCTCCATTCTTATGTAAGAGCAGATGATCAAGGGTGAGACATGTATGGACATTCTCTAACATAAGAGACAAAGACAAAAACAAATTGATAAAAAAACCTTTTTATTAAACCTGAAAGAAACAGATTATTTATGGAGACAAAAATCTGAAAGAAAAACAAGAAACCGCCGGGCGCAGTGGCTCATGCCTGTAATCCCACCACTTTGGGAGGCTGAGGCGGGCGGATCATGAGGTCAGGAGATAGAGACCATCCTGGCTAACACAGTGAAACCCCGTCTCTACTAAAAAAAAAAAAAAAAAAAAAATTAGCCGGGCATGGTGGCACGTGCCTGTAGTCCCAGCTACCCAGGAGGCTGAGGCAGGAGAATCGATTGAACCCAGGAGGCAGAGGTTGCAGTGAGCTGAGATCGCGCCACTGCACTCCAGCATGGGGGCCAGAGTAAGACTCCGTCCCAAAAAAAAAAAAAAACCAAAAAAAAAAACAAAAAAAAACAAAAAAAACCCCAGAAAGGTAAGAAGAAAATGCAGCCCCAAAATAATAGAAACCAGTTAAGAAAGAACACTTAGAAATGAAAAACATTTTTTAAAATGAGAAAAATATAATGTCACAAATGAAAAAAAAAACTCTATAGAAGAGATAGATGATAAAATTGAGGAGTTCTCTTAGCAAGTAGTCAAAACACAAAGATAGAAAATGAGAAGAAAGATAAGAAAATGAGAGGAACAGTCTAAGAGGTCATCTAACTAGAAGGAGAAAACAGAGGAGGATATCATTAAACAATTCATGAAACTTTGCCCAAATTAAAGGATATGAATAACCAGACTGAAAGAGTTCAATGAGTACCCAGCACATGTATAAAAATAGGTCTACCACAAGGCATGTTATTATGAAATTTTAGAAAAGCAGGGACAAAGAGAGGATCCTAAAAGCTTCTAGAAAAAAAAAAATAGGTCACAGAGGAAAAAAAAATCAAGAATCTACGTAGCTTTCGATTTCTCAATAACAATGTAAGAGCCTAAATTATAAAAGAAAATTTTTTAAATTCTGAGACAAAATGATTTCCCACACAGAACCTGATACTTACTTAAAGGATGACTGATAATAATGCAAGCAGCAAGATTTTCCAAAATGACCCTGAGTGCTCATCCTGGGCTGCATGGAAGGACAGAGCTAAGACACCCACCACTGACCATCTCAACCCATGGTCAACTTTCCCAGGCAATTAGTAGCTTCTAATCTCTGCTAAGAGGACCTCCTGGATTACACAGCTAGCATTCTCAAACAACTCCTATAAATATCTAACAAGTATTCAATGGCCTAAGTCATAGGCAGTTTAAATGTCTCTTTACTAACAAGATTACTCTTGAGCTTGTCCTTTAGGAATGGAGAACAATGGGGGATGGAGAGGAGGAGACAGAAGTATCTCTCCATTTAAACGTAAACCACAGCTGTGTATTCAGCACATCTCCCCAGCACATGTATCTGTGAGATCATGAGAGTCGTAGATATGTGTCTTCTTGTCTCTTATTGACCCTTGGTTTTGTATTAAATACATTTCCTTTTCTATAATAATCATGCTGTATGATGTAGTGGAATTTGTTCTAAGTCCTGGCAGCTGAAAGGTTGTCAGGCTAAAGGTATCACTTTACTTACTGAAAAGAAAAGAACCCATTTTTCACAGCAATAGTCAAAAAATGTTTAACTCAGGGTATGTCTAAAACAACAAGCAGAACAAAACCCTAATAACTCCCCTGTATCCTTTTTTATAAAGCTGCTGGAAAATATGCTTTACCAAAATTAGGAATTAAGGGATTCAGGAAACAGAATCCACCCCCAAAAAATGAAAAGGCATCCCAGGACAATGTGAATAGTGATGTTAAAATGGCAGCTGTGCACTGGCCTAGAGAGCAACTACTACAGATGACACAGAGACCCCTAAGTAGCTTATGGTCTACTGGGAAGATCAAGACACATGCACAATGACCACCCAGGAGGTTGAGAAGAAAAACAGTAGTTCAGAACAGAAAAAAATTTTCTTTGCCTAAAGAAATCAAAAAGCATTTCATCAAGGAAGCATGACTTAATCATGCTGACATTTAGACATATTGAAATGAGGAAAGATTCTCCTTCCTCAGTGAAGCATTCTAAGTAAATGATTAAAATAAGAGTATACACATGTTTGAAGACTACAGACAGCTGGATTTGGTTGAAATACAGAAAAGAAAACAAGCAATAGAGCAGGGTATGCTAAAAAAAAAAAAAAAAAAAAGACCAGATGATAGCTTTGCCTTAAATTTCATGCTGAGGAATTTGTATTTTGCTCAAAGGGAAACAGAGTATTTTAAAGGGTTAGGGTGGAAGTGGTAGTGGTCCAGGCAGAGTAGCCTTGAGCAGAACTACTGGAGAGTTGAAGATGCTGAAACCAGGAAAAGAATGTGACTCTAAGAAAGGGAAAGGGAATGGGTAAATGAACTCAATGTGCTGAGAACAAGGTCTGTTTTCCATTTAATTTTAATGGGACTTTTACAGAACTGCTTGTTCATTCAAACAAATCAGTTTTTGCTGGCTACTGTAAAAATACCTGTGGATTTGTTTGATGCTCTCCTTCGAATTTCTGTCACCATTAGTCGTGAGACTTGTGTTGTGAACTGCAGAAGATCAGAAAATTTTTCTGTCATTGTATTCGGCGGAGCATTTCCAAAAACCTGTAGATAAGAAAAGACATTGTTAATGAAGCACTGACAAATTTTTCTTTTTATTTTGTGAATTTTCAAGTGTGGTATGACTTGAAAATCAAGTCCAGAAAAGTCTACCTACACAGTTACTTTGAATCTTAATATGTTGAAAATACAACGCTTTCAATAAATCACATGTCTAGCCACATTTCCTTTTACATATAAATTTGTTGAAGAAATGATTAAATAAATGAAATCTAAGACCCATAGACATTATTGATAAAATTTGAATCAATCTCACGAAAAACATTAGAAATTATAACGTTTCTTTTTTTTTGGGGGGGACAGATTCTCACTCTGTCGCCTAGGCTGGAGTGTAGTGGCACGATTTTGGCTCACTGCAACCTCTGCCTTAGGTTCAAGCTATTCTCCTGCCTCAGCCTGCCAAGTAGCTGGGACTACAGGTGCATGCCATCATGCCTGGCTAATTTTTGTATTTTTAGTAGAGATGGGGTTTCACCATGTTGGCCTGGCTAGTCTTGAACTCCTGACCTCTGGTGATCCGCCTGCCTCAGCCTCCCAAAGTGCTGGGATTACAGGCGTGAGCCACCACATCCAGCCAACATTTTTCTGAGGAAAGCTAATTTGAGAATTTAGAGAAAAGTTATAAAGGATCTTTGATGGAGTACAGGCACACTGGATGGTGAAAAGCAGCTCTACTGCTAAATCCCAGGCTGACGTCAGAATTCACTAAACTCATTTCATGTCTCAGAATTTCCTCAGTCTAATCACAATAATTTACAAAACAAGGCTGTTACCAAAAAAACTAGAAAACAGAAATGGGAGGGTCATGAAACAAACTTGTTTTTACACAAATTTTAAAATAAATGAGCTTTAGAATAAATAATTCTTATTTTTAATTTTATTTATCTGTTTTTTTTTTTTTTTTTTTTTTTTTTTTTTTTTTTTTTTTTGAGAACTGGTTCTTGCTATATTGCCCAGGCAGGTCTTGAACTCCTGGGTTCAAGCTATCCTCCTGCCTCTGCCTCCCTAAGTGCTGGGATTACAGGTGTGAGCCACTATATCCTGCCTAAAATAAATAATTTTTAAAAATAAATGGGTATGAGTTCAGCAAAGAGAATTTGAGAAAATGAAACCTGGACAGACCATCATAAGAAAAGAAATGGTATTTTAATGGGTATATAACTAGATATATCCTGAGGTATTATTTTAAAGAATATTCTTTATAGCTGAAAGGAAATTCTCTATATTCTAAGGCTATTATAGTATCTCTCCCTTTTAACAGTCATTACACAGTAATTTATATTATTATTACCTATTGAAATGTCACTACAAAAGGAGAAAACATAATTTACTCAACTTCATATTCTCCCAAGCCAACACTCTGCCTTTTATAGTAATGCTCCCTAAATATGGTTGTTTATTTATATGCTGACTGCCCTCACAATCAAATTCTAGAGAACATTCAGGGAGCACTGAAGGAGAACATGAGAACATAAACTAAAATCAAGAAGGAAAACAAAACAAACAAGCAAATAAAAGACCCAGCTAGGGAGATGGACTGGAAAAGAAAACTAAATAAAAATCTAAGACTGGAAAGACCTCTATATTTTCCATGTATTGGTTACAAATTTTGGCTCAAAGATACAGAAGAGAAAACCTGATCAATCACATCATTCACAATGCCTTTAGCATGAAAAAATATATATATTTAAGGAAGTAGTTCTATTCCTCATATTATACTAGTCCCCCCTTATCTGTGAGAGGTAAGTTCTAAGACCCCACTGGATGCCTGAAACCACGGATAGTACCAAAGCCCGTAAACACTGTATTTTTTACTATAATACATACCTGTGATAAAGTTTAAGTAATAAATTAGGCACAGTAAGAGACTGGCAACAATAATAATAAAGTAAAAAAATTGTAATAATATACTATTCACAATTTCACAAATACAAGATTCCTTCTTATTATAGATCTCAAAAACCTCAGCACACAGTTTTTGGTCTTTCCTTATTAAGTCAAGAACTTTTACCTTTTCACTTAAAGGAAGGACTTCTCTCTGGCATACACAAGTGGCCAACCCCATAACTTTTGCACTTTGGGGCCATTATTAAGGAAAATAGAGTTTCTTGAAAACAAGCAGCTTGATACCAGGACAATAGGTCTCATAACTGAGGCTGCTACTAAGTGACTATTGGGCAGGTGGCCCATAAATCATGGATACACTGGACAAAGGAATAATTCACATCCCGGGAGGGATGGAGCTGAATGGTGTCAGATTTCAAACTTATGAATTGTTTGTTTCTGTAATTTTCCACTTAATATTTTCAGACCACAGATGACCAAAACCATGAAAAGCAAAACCATGAATAAGGAGGGATTACTGCATAATATAAACAATTCCTTCCAAAGATCCCAATAAAAGAATATAACAAACAATGTAATATCCTTCTAATAGAAAATGTGTTTCTTACATGTTTCTTATAACCTCCCTCAAATTAAGTTGAAAATGCTAAAACAATAAATAAATTCTACAAGGGTATCGTTTTTTCCAGACACCTAGTCTGTTCAATAGTTTGACAAATGAATAATTTGTAATAATCTCAAAATCTCAAAAAATAAACTGTACTTTTCAATACTTCCTCAACACATTTTTTTCCTGAGATTTTGATAAATGTTGTGTGCTTAGAATTAACCTATACTACTTGTTAAATAATCTATGTTACCTGTTAAATAAACCTCCCCTTTTTTTTTTTGAGATAGGGTCTTACTCTGTCATTCAGGCTGGAGTGCAGTGGCGCAATCATGGTTCACTGCTATCTCAACCTCCTGAGCTCAGGTGATTCTCCCACCTCAGCCTCCTGAGTAGCTATGACTACAGGTGCCTGCCACCACACTCAGCTGATTTTTGTATTTTTTGTAGAGATAGGAATTTCGCCATGTTGTACAGGCTGGTCTTGAACTCCTGGGCTCAACTGATCTGCCCATGATGGCCTCCCAGAGTGCTGGGAATACAGGCATGAGCCACTGTGCCCGGCCAGAAACCTCTATTCTTTAACAAACTGAAGACTGATAAAAATTGAGAAACCTAATAATGACACATCTTTGAATAGCCATTCCACCTGTGCTCAGAGATGAGTACATAGCCTTTTGTTATTGCTGTTGAGACAGAGTTTTTGCTCTTGTTGCCCAGGCTGGAGTGGTGCAATGGCACAATCTCGGCTCACTGCAACCTCTGCCTCCTGGTTTCAAGTGATTCTCCTGCCTCAGCTTCCTGAGTAGCTGGGATTACAGGCACCCACCACCACACCCGGCTAATTTTTTTTGTATTTTTAGTAGAGATGGGGTTTCACCATGTTGGCCAGGCTGGTCTCGAACTCCTGGCCTCAGGTGATCTGCTCATCTCGGCCTCCCAAAGTGCTGGGATTACAGGCGTGAGCCAACTCTCCTGGCTGAGTACATGGTTTTTTAATGGAGGTGTTTATAATATTCCTATTACTCAGGGTGTATCAATGTATATTTTGCTCCTAAGAATTAGTATGAGGTATTTTATTGCTAATAGTTATTAGGACAACTAAACAGAACCAATAGCTCATTTCTTGAACAGTTGTTAAGGATATAATTATTCAACCAGTCTTCATGCTGGGTAAATAATATGCTGTTGAAAATGCCAGTAACTTTTTACACAAATCCTGATGTTTACTGCTTTATTTCCTCTAAGAAATGTTCTGACAAGATAAATAAAACTGGCTTGAATTTACCAACCCAAAATCAGTACTACAGAAAAAGACTATGTCATATTTGCTAATCTGAAATGAACAAGCATTGCTTCTTAAATAAGGTTTATTCACTCACAAATATTTATCGACTTCCTAGTATATGTGCCAGGCAATGTTCGAAGGGTCCTGAATACAAAGGTAAATAAAACAAATATGATTCCTGTGCTCATGAAACACAGGACATTTTAGCACAGAAGACCAGTGGTAAATAAGTTGATTTTAAAATTAAAATTATTTAAAGATAGTATTATGAAGAAAGTAAAATAGGGTAGCTGAAAGAGAATGCCTGGGGTGGGAAGAAGGTTGTCAGGAAAGGTCTTTCTGAAGAAGCGACACTGGTGCCAAAGGATGACACTGACTAATGAGGAAAAGTTACAATCCAAAGAGACAAGGAAAGAGGGTTGCAGGCAGTGAGATCAGAGCTGTGCAAAGACCTCAAAGTGAGATTGATTCTGGGGTGTACAGGAATGAAAATGAGGCTGATAAAGCTGGGGCATTTTGTATAAGAGGAAAAATGGTACAAGATAAGGTTGGAGGGATAGAGGAACTAAAGCATGAATCTGACATTGTAGGTAATACTGAATGGATAAGGTAGCAAAGAAAATAGTGTAGTTTTGGTGATTGACTTCAACAACTGAATCTAAAAATATTATGTATGTGTTCACTACTTTCAACAAGTAGTGGTATTTCTTGAAACTATACAATGCTTCCATCATTTACATAAATGTTTGCCAAAGAGGATGCAGCATGAAGCTGGGTGTCAGAAGGTGTAGATTCTACTTCTCACTCTCAGGGAGTACTGACTACTTGTCAAATTTTTCCAGTTCTAGGCCAGGTATGGTGGCTCATGCCTTTAATCCCAGCACTTTGGGAGGTTGAGGTGGGTAGATCACCTGAGGTCAGGCGTTGAGACCAGCCTGGCCAACATGGTGAAACCCCATGTCTACTAAAAATATAACAATTAGCTGAGTGTGGTGGCACATGCCTATAGTCCCAGCCACTTGGGAGGCTGAGGCATAAGAATAGCTTGAACCTGGGAGGTGGAGGTTGCAGTGAGCCAAGATGGTACCATGGCACTCCAGCCTGAGCAACAACAGAGCCAGACTTGGTCTCAAACAAACAACGACAAAAAATTTCTGGTTCTGCAGAGGAAGAAAGTTGGGCAAGAGAACTGGCAACACATTCAACTCAAAAGGGCTGATTCTAGAATACATATGTGAAATTCATAACAGATTAAAAAAAAGGTAATGAAGAACAAAAATGACTTCTTGCAAATTCACTGGAAATAACAATTACCATATAATACCCATTTAAAATCTGCGTAGCACTATTCAAGAACTTGGTGTCATTTAAGTCTCATAAAATCCTACAGAATAGGTTCTACTAGTAGCCTCATTTTACAGTTAAGAAAATTAAGAGTTAGACAACTTAACTTAAAACAGGAGGCAATACAGACAGAATTTAAAACTACATCTATCTGATTCCAAGCCAGGCTCTTCATCACTCAGTACTATATTTTTCTCAAACTGTGCATGAACCCTATCACTAAACTGTGCATAGTGTTCATCTTTAGAGAAAAATAGCATGGTTTGACTTATTTTTAAAATAATCATTTTTAATATCCACCTAAATAGATTTCAGAAGATTTCCTGGCACCTCTTCAACCAAATATTTTTGGCACTCAGGGAAAGCAAATTAATGGTGTTATCTAATGGCATTCATAAAGGCTCAATATAAACTTGTTACTGAATAGTGCTATTCAATAAAAATATATTAAATATGACTAATAAAAGAGAGGTTGGAATGTTTACAAAGTTTTTAAAAATGGAGGCTTTTGTTTCCTAAATATGTGTTATATCTAAAATTAAGTCAGACTATGGACCATCATTAGTCCTAAAATAATTTGCTATAAATAACAATGTTAAAAAATTAACAATGAAGATGTAATTGCATTATTTCGTATGGTAAATCAGTTAAGATTTCTTATCAATTAATATAAATGATTAGGGAAATATTTATCTTATGCTCTTTTTGTTTCTATGAAGGACCATCAGATGAGAGTCTGAGAAGAACAGAATGCCTAACTCAGTCCCGTCCTCTCCTTCCGGGCTTTGCCTGCCTCATGAGAATATGCATTCTCATCTGCTCTGGCTGTGGCTTGCCACTGTCCAGTTCTGCCAGTGACTGGGTAAGTAAACATGACTATTTCAGGGCTGAATTCAGCAAGTCCTTTGTTGCACAGACCCAAGCCACATTCTCCAGTATCAACTGTATTGGTATTATGTAATAAGTAATAAAGCTGCCACAAAATAATTCACCTGTCTGCCTTCTGATCTCTCTCTTATTTGGTTCTAAGTTTGGGTGACCTCTCTCTTAAGTCAACAAATTAAAAAGTAATGATAATTTGTAAGGGATTAAAAAAGGACACTGTATTACATTTACATGCTTCTCAAATATAAATTGGAAATAAGTTAAAAAATAAGGGGAGTTTCTTACAAAAGATCTAATTGGTAAACATTACATTTTAAAATACACAGCAAAATATAACAAATACTACAGTAATTAACAGTGGCAGTTATGAATTTTTAGACAACTAAAATGCTACTCATTTTGAGTAAGTTTAAACCAAATGTTTTCTTTGTCAGCTTTTGTTCTTGGGACTAAATGTTAATTATTTTTAAGAATGCTGAATAAATATTATTCAGCTATTTTCAGACTTCACCATAATCTTTCAGTTTGAGCAAATCAGTAAGAGGGAAGATAACAGCAGCCTCCTTGTAGGACTGTAATGAAGACAACAGGAGGCATTTCAAGAACCCAGCATGAGACCTGGCCCAGAAAAAAGACTTAATACATGTCATTTCCCAACCCATGTCTCTCAAAGGCAAAAATCATGCACTGAAATAACACTATTAAGCACACTTTAAAAACTAGTCTGTAGCTAGATGTCCATGTCTAACAGCTTGTTCACCATTTAGCTCTAATCAAGCAAAGTCTCAAAAATCAACACTGCAATTCCTTTTTAGCAATCATGGTAAGAACTGGTTGGCTCTAGCAACATACTGAGCTATTCACTCACCATAGGTATTTGTCACTAGTGGACAATGTTCAAGCACAAACGGCCAAATGTTAAATAGATATGGCTATATATTTCTAAATTTAATGGAAATGGTATCTAAGAACAATTTTAGTTTATTAATTATATCCAATTAATAAGAATTATTTTTAAAATAATACATTTTTCAAATTAGTCACAATGGTACAGATATAACTTTCTATCTTTTCATTAGTTAAGAGTTTACTGAACCTTTGTGATATCAAATCACTCATTATATTAGAGTTTTAAGGCATTGCATACACATATGTTTCTAATCAACCAATTAAAAACTTTTGAGAGAATTTGTTAATAGTTAATGAGACTTACAATAACATAGGACATAAGATAACTAAGTCAAACATTTTAAGTAGATAGAGAATAATTACTAAAGCATCTCATATCTACTTATTAAAAAAACAAATAGTCATGAGATTCTTCTAGTCTAGTAGACTGTGGAAGCCTAACTGATAAAATACATGGGATACATATATATGTAGGCTATTACTTAATAATTCATGTTAATAGCCAAGAACAATTCCCCTAACTGCTCTAAACATTCTCATTACCTTGTAAACATTCCTAAGTCTGACAGAAGGAAATTACCTCAAACTCCTCAGTAGCCAACAGCACATCATGACGTTAAAGTAAAACAAAAATAAGATTTAAAAACAAAACAAACTTCCAGATAACAAAAATTATTAACTTCCTGGTAATAAAAATTAGTAACTTCCCTGAATAGGGCTTAAAACAATGGCTTGTCATAGTTCTCTCTCCCATTTTTAAAAGAGCTATTTTAAACCTTTCCCCACCTCTTCTCACGTTCCTACTCTACCATCTCCTCCCTCTATCATTCTCAGCAGATAATCTATCCTATTATTTCATAAGTAAGGAAATGTACATTCTATAAATGCGTTAATGTTTCTATCCTCTTCTGTTGTATCCAACACAAGCTCATGGGTGATATGTGAACTAACCTTCCTGGCACTCTTGCCCTTCTGCCTTACCAGCCTATACAAACCTCAATCTCAATAAATCAGGTATTGCTTTCTCTACTTTTTCACACAGGCCAGTACTGATAAGGTTTAGTATAAATTTATCATCTCCAACCTTCACTGAGCCATCAATACTAATCAATTCTTTTATTGCCCCCTTTCAACTCTTTCTTTCTCATTCATTCCCTTTCACTAGTATTTCCAACAACAAAAATAATAAATTCACGTAACAAAAACAATAATAGATACAATAATAACAATAATAGGTACACATTTCTTGGGACAAACACTTATTAAGTGCTGTAAGTATATTATCTGAATTTAACCCTCACGACAACCCAATAAGGTTGACATTATTATTATTTTACAGCCCAGAAATTGAAGGTGACTGTTCCTCCCCAGTGCAGTAGACAACTAGAAGTCTAGTTCCTTACGAGGAAGAAGAGAGATACCACCACAAATCAAAGACAAGAACACTGATATGTGAACACTGGAGATTCAGTGATAGTCTATCTACTGAACATGAGACATACTAAAAAAATAAATAAATAATAGTAAAACAACAAAGAATTCAAGGAAATTAAAACTGTGATATTAATAGCACAACATTACTCTAAAAGAACTACTGCTTGATTGACAGAGGTCCAGAAAAGGGGGAACATATAAGATATAGAGGAGAATATTCTCAAAGAAATATTTCAGAATATTTACCGAGACTGAACAATACAAGTTTTCAGATTAAGAAGGCTTAAGCTGAAGCCACAATAAAATTTCAAAATAATGAGAAGAGGAAGAGCCTAGAAAATTTCACACAAAAAGATAGATGAACAGAGAAAATAATATAGACAACAAGTGAGACTACAGGGGACAGAGCCAGTCAGAGATTGGGGCACGGGGTGAGGGGGTGGGTGTGGAGAAAGGCATCGTCAGGGGCATGGAGATAGATCTGGAAAAAGGGGAGAAGAAAAAGAGACAGGGGAGAGTCAGAGACAGGGAAAGAAATAGGGACAGAGAGGAGACAAAGAGAGAAATGGGAGGACAGAAAGACAGTGATGGAGAAGAGAAAGAGAGATGAAAGGCATAGAGAGAGACAGACAGATAGGAAGAAAGAAATGGAAACAGGGGAAGGCAGGCAGACACAGGATAAAAAAGACAGACAGGGCAAGGCAGAGAAGATGTGGGAGGGACAGAGAAAGGAGGAGGAAAAAGAGCGAGAGAAGGGAAACCAAGAAACAAAGACATGCAGAGAAAGAAATTGAGACAGGAAGTCTGAGGAGAACAAGTTCTATAATAATGGAAAAATAAAGGTAGTATAGTATAAGGTTCATCTTTGAATAAATTTAAATTTATATCACTGTCAGTAGAGAGCAAACACTGAATACTGCTTACACAAGTAGCCTAACTATAGGGAAAGGATGAGGAGGGCAGCATGTATGAATGAGTGTATGTATGTATGTATGTATGTACATTATGGTTTGGAGGGAGAGGAAGTAAAGAAGCTAATTCTTATATTCCTCAGTAGGAAGTCAATTAAAACTACACAACAGCAGTAAAAGTATGTTATTTAAAAGTCTTTCATGGCGGCAGCAATTAGTGGTGAAGAGCAGGAGGGAACCTATAAGCCTGTGAAACTATCTGACTTTTTAAAATGATGTATTTGTGAACTTCTGATAAACATAAAAAAGTTATTATTATTATTATTTTTGAGACAGAGTTTCACTCTTGTCGCCCAGGCTGGAGTGCAATGGCGTGATCTCAGTTCACTGCAACCTTCGCCTCTCGGGTTCAAGCGATTCTCCTGCCTCAGCCTCCCGAATAGCTGGGATTACAGGCACGTGCCACCACGCCTGGCTGATTTTTTATTTTTAGTAGAGATGGGGTCTCACCATGTTGGCCAGGCTTGTCTCAAACTCCTGACCTCAGGTGATCCACCTGCCTTGGCTTCCTAAAGTGCTGGGATTACAGGCGTGAGCCACCACGCCTGGCCTAAAAAAATTGTTATTTTAAAAATACCCAACAAGATTGCTACATGTAATTTACAAAACATATGAAAACATTAACTCTATTTGAATTATCTATAGCCTATAACTATCCTCTTACAGCATCTCTTAAACAACAGCAAATTGTAATGACTTTTTAAAGTATACAAAGGGCTTGGGCAGTTGCACCATTTGGTGTAATAAAATCATCACTTTAACAGATAACAGAAATAACACAATTGATAATTTACAATCTATTCCTCTTCCAAATCTCAACCATAACAGGGCCATTTTAGACAATGGCTCACAGCTTGCACTTTATCTGTTAAAAATCAAAAAGTCTCACTAAATGTAGTTTATTCTGACCAGGTTTCACATCAAGTCACACTGCTTTATAGCAAATTGAAAACATGAAACGAGAACACCAAACTTCTTAAAACTAACTCAGCCTATCATTTTTTTCTACCTATGGCTTACCAGTAACCTTCAGATTCTTGTAGTGCCCCCCAGTCCCGGAAGGTGTGTGTCTGGCAACCTGGACTTACCCTGTTAAACACTGGCAGCATCATATACAGTTTCTCTTCTTGTTCCTTCTGAGTCATGTGCCGGGGAGGATGGCACAACTCCGTGAAGAGCCGGCGGAGGTGCATCAGTCCTAAGGCGTTGTCTTGTGGGCTGCACTCCTCCTGCCTCGGCCGCCCCATGATCCTCTTCACCATGTTCATCTTGGCTGGTTGGTGAGACGCACTTCTAATTCTGTAGGAAAATGTCAATACATGAACAGTCAAAACATCATCATCTTGACTAGGTCAAGCATGCATGTAAGAGCTTATAAGAAATTTGCAAAATAGAAAATTCTGTCTAAAATATATCTTTCTACTTCTTTAAACAGAAAAGACAGAGAAGCAAAATTTGATAAATCCCCCTGAAGGGCAAATTATGAATCTCAGCATTGGAAGTTCTTACTCACTTTGCCACAATTTGTATAAAATGTAAAACATTAATCAGACAAGTAATAAATGTTTCCAATTAGTTTAGTCATATCAAGTTCAAAAATAAAGGCGCCGGGAATAGTGGTGCACACCTGCAATCCCAGCACTTTTGGAGGCCGAGGCCGGTGAATGGCTCGAGCTCAGGAGCTCGAGACCAGCCTGGGCAATATGACAAAACCCTGTCTCTACTAAAAATACAAAAATTAGTCAGGTATGGTAGTGTGCGCGTATAGTCCCAAGTACTCAGGAGGCTGAGGTGGGAAGATAACTTGAGCCTGAGAGGTTAAGGCTGCAGTGAGCCAAGATCACGCCACTGCATTTCAGCTTGGGTGACAGAGACTCTGTCTTTAAATAAATAAATAAAATAAAAACATAAAGAGAAAGAGATCACAAAACTATTAATGGATTTCTTAATGGTTAATGTAAAAATAATGAAAAAACAAACTTTACCCAAATCTCAAAACATCTAAGACAGTCAAAAACCCCAAAACCTCACAAAATTTTCTATTTTTAGTTATTTAATTTATAATTACTTAATTTTTTTGCTAGAAAATTCAAGTATACTTTGAGTACATGAAGAATAGTGTATCTTATAGATTAAAATATGCAAATTGAATATAATACTATCCTACTTTATCCTATAAATCATAAAAGGACAGTGAAAATGATCATGTGACTGAAAACTACTTTCTAAAACTATAGTTTGGTAAGTCATGTTAAATCATTTAGTGGATAATGATGAGCATTTTTCAAAGAAGTGAAATAGAATAGAAAAAAATAGAAGATAAGAAAAGAATAACTTGTTTCATGAAGCTTATTTCAGATAAAGGTGTATTACTGTGTACTGAATCATAATGCAAAATGTATCCCTTGCTGGAGCTGCAGTTAAAAAAATACACAAACTAACCATTGAGTTAAAGTATACACAGAATCAGTAACAGTAAGCTTTCAGAAAGCATCATTACCCCTTTTTAACCACTACTAATGATGCCAGCAATTGGCTAAGTGTAGACACAAAAACAGGATATCTTACAAAAGGAACCAGGAAGGCTGGGAGGACATTCTGGGTATGCAGAATTTGGATGAAGGGCCATTTACTTTTTAATCCATAGAAAAGCAGGCAACACCTGAGATTAATTTTTAATTTTGCTACAGAACCACATATGCCAGTATGCCATTTCTTAAGAAATGAAGGACTACAGCAAGGTTAGAGTTTTATTTACTAAATATCTGCCTACTGATTTTTAAAACTAAGAACAAGAATTTCAAACACACTTGCCCTTGAGAATTTTGAGTGAATTCCATACTTGACTACGGGCATATGCTGAGGCACTGTAGCTAACAGGAGGACACGATGTAACTCATCACAGGTGAAGAGGAGTCAGACAAATTCTGCCTAGAACTCTGCCAATGGCTTGTTTGCACTGAATAACTACTGTGCAGAGAGCACTGAGCACACTCTCAAGTGCCCAACTGCTGGAAACAGTGCTAACACATAGGCAAAGGGCTGGGGGGAGCATTTAATCTGCAAAATAACAGAAGTTAGTCCAGTTCAAAGATGTCCAATGTATCTTATTCTTGAAAAATATGTTTTCCAAATATAAATATTTCAACAAATATGTTCCAATAACCTACTATGTGCTGGTATTTACAGTCCTGGAAATCCCCAGAACAAAACTTAAATTTGAAGTGAACTATAAAAATTTTATAAATTAGCTAACATTTTAGATTATGTATAGTTCTGCTCCTTTTCCTTACCCTGTAGCTAGAGTTGATAATCTAGAGATAGTGGATAGGACTTAGGGGATTCATGATACTCCAACACTTCAAAAAAAATTTTTTTTTTCTGCTGGGCGCGGCGGCTGACGCCTGTAATCCCAGCACTTTGGGAGGCCTAGGCGGGTGGATCACGAGGTCAGGGGATCGAGACTATCCTGGCTAACACGGTGAAACCCCGTCTCTACTAAAAGTACAAAAAAAAATTAGCCGGGCGTGGTGGCAGGCGCCCACTCTCTCCAGCCCCTGGCACCCACCATTCTACTCTCTACTTCGGTGAGTTTGACAATTTTATAATCCACATGTAAGTGATATCATACAGTATTTGTCTTTGCATGACTGGTTTATTTCACATTTAGTATAATGTTCTCAAGGTTCATCTGTATTGTTGCAAATGACAGCACTTCCTTTTATAAGGACGAATAATATTCCACTCTGTGTGCTGCACACGCACACATACATATCTGCTTTTCTTTGTCATTCTTCTGTCAAGGGACATTCAGATTATTTCCATATCTTGGCTTTTGTGAATAGTGCTGCAACAAACATGGGAGTGCAGGCATCTCTTCAAGATACTGATTTCATTTCCTTTGGAAATATACCCAGAAATGAGACTGCTGTATCATAAAGATAATTCTATTTTTAATTTCTTGAAGAATCTCTAAACTGTTTTCTAAGGTGGCTATACCAATTGATATTCCCACCAACAGTGTACAAGAGTCCCCCATTTTCCACATTCTGGCCAACACTTTCCACCTTCTGGCCAACATTCTCGCCACTCTAACAGGTGTGAGGGGATATCTTATTGTGGTTTTGATCAGCATTTCCCTGATGATTATTAATACTGAGCACCTTTTCATATACCTATTAGATATTTGCATGTCTTTTATGGAGAAACATCTACTCAGGTGCTTTCTCACTTTTTAATCAGGTTATTTGAGTTTCGCTATGAGTTGCATGAGTCCCTTATGTACTTAAATTATTACCTACACCAATATCATGAGGCTCTCCCTGTTTTTACCTAGTAGCTTTTGGTTTCAGGTATTATATTAAAGTCTTTATTCCATTTTGAGTTAGTTGTTGTATATGGTGTAAAATAAGGTCTAATTTTATTCTTCTGCATGAGGATATCCAGTTTTCCCAACACCATTTATTACAGAGACTATCTTTCACCATTCCATGTTCTCAGAACCCTTGTTGAAGATCAGCTGACTGTAAATGCATGGATTTATTTCTGGTGTCTCTATTCCATTTCATTGGTCTATATGTCTGTTTTCATGCCAGTACCATACTATTAAGATTACTGTAGCTTTGTAATATATTTTGATATCAGGAAATGACACTTTCAGTTTTTTTCTTGTTCAAGACTGCTATGACTATTTGGGTTCTTTTGTGGTTCCATATGAATTTTAAGATTTTTTTTTCTATTTCTGTAAAGAATGCTATTGGAGGCCAGGCGCAATGGCTGATGCCTGTAATCCCAGCATTTTGGGAGGACGAGGTGGGCGGATCACCTGACGTCAGCAATTCAAGATGAACCTGGCTAACATGGTGAAATCCTGTCTCTACTAAAAATACAAAAAATTAGCTGAGCATGGTGGCACACACCAGTAGTCCCAGCTACTCAGGAGGCCGAGGCAGGGAATCACCTGAGCCTGCGAAGCGGAGTTGCAGTGAGCTGAGATGGCGCCACTGCACTCCAGCCTGGGTGAAAGAGCAAGACTCCATCTCAAAAAAAAAAAAAAAAAAAAAAAAGAACAAGAATGCTACTGGAATTTTTGATAAGGATTACGCTTAATCTACAGATCATTTTCGGTAGTACGAACATTGTAACAACATTAACTCTACCAATCCATGAACAAAAGAAATCTTTTTATTTATCAATGTCTTCTTTAATGTCCTTCATCAATGCTTTATTAAAGTGTACAAGTCTTTCACTTCTTTGATTAAGTTTATTTCTACGAATTGCAGTCTTTCTATTGCTACTGCAAATGGGATTGCTTCCTACCTTTAAGAGAGGCCCCCAAGATAACAACTCATTCAAAGTACGATAGTGAAATAGAACTTGGATGAGAATCCAGGCCTTCCAACTCCCAGTTAAGTGGCCTTCACCAGGCTTACTTATATTAGGTATCAATTTTAAATTATAAAATACTTGGAAACTGTGACTCTAGTTAGCACGTTTATTTATTTGGCATCAGGTAACAATCAGAATGTGAAAATAATCTTTTTTGAGTTTTCTGAAATACATAAATCTTTTTTTTTTCTTTTGAAACTGGTTCTCGCTCTAATACCCAGTCTGGAGTGCAGTGGTGCAATCACTGTGCTCACTGCATCCTCGAACTCCTGGGCTCAAGTTATTCTCCCTCCTCAGCCTCCCTAGTAGCTGGGATGACAGCATGCACCACCATGCCTGTCTAATTTTTGTATTTTTTGTAGAGACATGGTTTTGTCCTGTTGCCCAGACTGGTCTCAAACTCCTCAGCTGAAGCAATCTGCCTGCCTCGGCCTCCCAAAGTGCTGGGATTACAGGTATGAGCCACCGCACCTGGCCTCAACTTTCATTTTAATTTTAAAAATACACATGATCACATTATGACAAATACTATCTCACTATATATAACCCAGCTATTGCAATATGGTTATTTAATATTTTATCAGATACAAAAGGATACATACCAATCAGAAGTGACAAAGATTCTCTCCTTGACCAAACTCTAGTTAGGCTCTTCTGAATTCTCCTCTCAACTAGGCTTGGCTTTTAGCCTTCAGTGTTTGTCTCTACATTGTCCAATTAGAAACCTGCTAAGTAAGTTTAGCCAGAATTCCCATCCTAATATCTGATTGGGTGGCCAAATCTCCCGCCATCCTCCAGGTGATGGATGTCTGATCACCCTGGCCTGCCTTCGGCAAAAATCTTGTTAGGTCAGTTTAGCCAGAAGCCGTAATGTTTCCTCTCAGTAATTTTCTATCCACTGACTGCCCCCCAACCCCAGCCCTGCTACTTGGCTATAACATGACCACTTTTCCTTGTTCTTTTCCAAGTTGAGCCGAGTCTCTCCCTTTCACTGCAAACCCCACTGGAATGATCCCTACATCTATCATGATGGTCTTGAATAAAGTCTGACACGTTGCTCTTTTACAAATGCCAGAGACCAGGCACAGTAGCTCACACCTGAAATTCCAACACTTTGGGAGGCCCAGGCAGGCAGATCCTTTAAGCTCAGGAGTTTGAGACCAGTTTGGGACACATGACAAAACCCCATCTCTACAAAAAATACAAAAATTGGCCAGGCATGGTGCTGCATGCCTGTATTCCCAGCTACTAGGGAGGCTGAGATGAGGGGATTGCTTGGGTCTGGGGACATAAAGGCTGCAGTGAGCCATGAGCATGCCACTGTACTCCAGCCTGGGTTACAGAGTGAGACCCTGTCTCAAAAACAAGTGCCAGAATGAATAATTTTTTAAACAGGAGCTCAGTGGGTTTACTGGTACTTCTCAATTACTCAGATAATCTCAATGATGGGGGAAAAAATCAGATTCCTCCTTTGCTCCTAATGTACCAAATAACACTTCAGCATATCAGTTTTCTGAACCATGGTGGGACAGGATAATAGGGTCTGGAGACAGGGCATCTAAGGCCAATATGTGTTGACTTCGTAAAGATGAATCAAGGTTAAACACCAAGGTCTGGGGGCAAGAGATCTAAGGCCAACTCCTGCTGACTTCCCAAAGGTGGATCAAAAAGAAAACACCTGGGTCTGGAACTTCCAAAAGCTAAACCAAAAGGAAATGCCCCATCTCCCCAGGCCAGAGTAGCAAAGGATCAAAGGCTATCTCCCTAACCCTCCCCTTTCCACCACGTCCTAGATGGAAGGGGAAAGTGCCCTGGATGGGCTGTGGGCCAAGCTCAGGCCATCCCTTCATCTGCATAGGGCACCAATTCACCGCAGCCTTTAATTAGCCATGGACCAAATCCTTCATCCAGATAAGGGGTAGCTGATAGGGACCTCAAAAGGAACACTTAAAACCCAGAAAACTTTGTAACCAGGCCCTTGAGCCACTTGCTTGGGCCCACTCCCACCCTGTGGAGTGCTTTCTCGCTTTAATAAATCCCTGTTTTTGCTGCTTCATTCCTTCGTTACTTGTGCTTCATTGCGTGTGCATTTTGTCCAGTTCTTTGTGGAAAACGCCAAGGACCTGGACATCTCACACTTCAGGCCTGCTCTCTGGTAACCATGGCTTTGTCTACATTTAAATGTTTACATTTAAAACATAATTCAGACGAAGAGGTAACATGTCTAAAATATTCTTCAGCAGTGAAAGAGCAGAAAGAATAGGCACTTATCAAACCTTTATAAACACACCCGTATAATAAATCAGGTAACTTCAGGAGAAAGGCTCTAAACACCCTTGAATCTTGAGTTTCTTTCATTTATAAAATCTTTCCTCATGAACTTTTTATAAAACTTAAATAACATCATTTCTGTAACATGCCAAGCACACTAGTTACATTCAATAAATGTTATCTTTTCTTCCTTTACCTTGATCATGAAACATTTAATTTTTATATGCATTTTTAGTTATTTAAACAAGCAAAGCAAAGGAAATACTATAAGCCCCTACAGTGCTATGTTTTAGAGACTTGCAAAATGACACAAAAAATTAAGGAATAATTTATTTCTCAGTTGGATGTAGAATAAGAGGTTTAGAAAGCAATAAAGAAAAGATATGCAAAATAAGAACAAACCACAGAAGAATGTTTTCGCTTAATTTTAATGTTAGTAAGCGTTTTCAAACTATTTATAAGGATTATTGTGTATAAGAACTGGCTTTCTAATACAAACCCTATTTGGGTTCATAAGAAAAAATAATGTTAGGACTGCCAGCAGGGGCTTATTTAAATAGCAATGAGATAATTACTGCAAACCCAGATAGTATTTCTTAATCTAATCTCTTATGTTAATAAGAGAAAACCACTTTAAACTTGCTCACCCAAAATCATTTAAACAGTTTTCCATTACTTAAATCATGATGGGTATAGATCAAGTAAATAGGCTAAATTTTTAAAATATATTTGTCAAGTAACTAGCTGCGTTTGAGTAGCTCTGCTGAAAACTTTAAATAACTTTCCTAACTCTTTAATTATATAAGCGAAGAAACAAAACACACTAGCTACATTCAATAAATGTAATGTAAGCTCATATGGCTAAGTGAAATCTTACAGTTTCATCAAAGAATTATAAGCAATTCCTGCCGGGCGCAGTGGCTCACGCCTGTAATCCCAGCACTTTGGGAGGTCAAGGCGGGCAGATCACAAGGTCAAGAGATCAAGATCATCCTGGCCAACATGGTGAAACCCTGTCTCTACTAAAAATACAAAAATTAGCCGGGGATGGTGTCATGCGCCTGTAGTCCCAGCTACTCAGGAGGCTGAGGCAGGAGAATGGCTTGAACCCAGGAGGAGGTGGAGCTTTAAGTGAGCCGAGATCATGCCACTGCACTCCAGCCTGGGTGACAGAGCGAGACTCTGTCTCAAAAAAAAAAAAAAAAAAAAAAAAAAAAAAAAAAAGATTTATAAGCAATTCCTGAGGTTTTCCTTTTTCTTTCTTCTTCTTAATCTTTCTGGAAAATCCTTTACTTTGAAAAGCAAAGGCAAACCTCTTATACTTTTTAAGAATAAAGGCAAAACTCTGAGATGATCCCAACAAACTGGGTATATAAACCAGCAATCTAATATGTACAGTACAAAACAAACAAACAAAAACAAGTTCTACATATAGTCCTGAATTAGAATTTAAAATTTCTACCTTCTGAAGCATTAAGTTTTCTGTCTTTCAAGGAGAGTCATTATCATATTTTAGCCCAGACTATGAGATACTACAAGATTAGCCCAGTCTATGGACCCATCATACTATATATACCCTGAGCTACCCAATTTCTCAGATTTATTTAAACATTTTTTGGTGTGCTTAATTTTTTTCCTACAGAAAAACATATTCCAAAGCCAAAAGCAACTCACCTCCATTTAAGAATATTTCACTTACATAAAATTTACAACAGCAACTGTTGAAATCTCCCTGCTGCCTTTCTGGAACCCTTTCTACAACAGCTCCCACCGCTATCTTGGGAGCGGAAATTGCAACCACTAATAGAAGCCCTAAAGGTAGATTTATCTTAATAGTTAAAAGGCAGTTAGGTTACTTGGTATGATTAATACAGTATAATTCAATTATGTTATGGAATAAATAAACTTTGGAAGGCTGACCTGAGATCCCCAGCATTCTCCGAGTTTTTATACATATGTTAAAATTTTGTATAAAAGATTTGCAAAAGGATTCTTGTAACGCAATACTTCCGTAAAATGTGACTGCATAATACTGACAAGTTGTGCATTCTACATACGTTTGCTAACCTGTAGTTCAGGTCATTTAGCTTGGTAATCACTGACCAGTATCCTCAGTGGAAGGCACAGTACAGGGAGAGTGAGCTCAGGAATGAGATGCACTTCAGCTGACCTAAAACTTACACAAGATATATCCCAGATCTTGGCATCATTAGGAATTTATTTCTGACATCTCAAATTCCAAAATCTCACTCTGGTCTTTTAATCCATCTCCCTTTCTCACTCGCTGAATCTGTGGTCTTCACTAGAATCACTTATCCTTTGACTTCTCCCAATTGTTCAATAGAGGTGAGACTATATTTAATTCTCATCAGTATCTTCACGCCCCCTGCATTCCTGGCCTATACACCTTCTCAACATGTATTCATACCTCCAAGAACCCAGCCACATCATTTCTTCTTTTCTAATTTTGGGTTGCTGGGTACTACAGAGAAAACTCTATAATTCTGCAGACTGGTTACAATAAAAAGTTATTATTTTCTACTTCTTTCCATAAATAAAAACTAATAATTCCAAATAGATTAAAGATGTCCATGTAAAGAAACAATACAATATTAGTAGCAAATATAAAAGGAATACTTATACTTTAGAGTAAATCTTTAAAAGGGAAAAAAAGACAAACTTATGGCCAAAAATACCACAAACTTAAAAGATAAGAAACAAATAGGCAAAAAATATTTGCAGCCCTTCTAACAAAGTATTAATAACTAGGATATCCATGGAACTCAGACTCAACTACCCTAGAGCATAGTAGATATGGAATACAAATAGACTACTCCCAGTAAAAAACACTACACAACACATATGAAGAGGTACTTAAAATCACTAATCCAAGAAATGCAAATAAAAACAAAGTACAATTTTTCATCATTACTTTGGTAAAACTAATAGGATTTCTCTTCATAGACAGCAAGAAGTACTAAGTAAAATGGAAATTACTACACATATAAGTCAACAAGAAGCTATCCTGTAGAAATATTCACACAGATCACAAAGATGTCATACAATGTGAATTACCGCATTATGTTATTATAATCATTTGCGATACTGAAAAAGTTGGAAACAGTCTAGTCCTTTAACAGATCAATAGGTAATTCACGGTACATCCATGTCATGGAATACTGTTAAAAGAACATGTACTAATATGAAAAGAAAAGTTAAATAAAAAACAAAATAAGGGATTTAGCACCAAAATGTAAAGAGCTTTGAAATCATCTCCTGTTCTTACACAAAAAACCACTGGATCAACTCTAACTCAAGGACTTTTCTTGGACCCATCAAAGAACTGAGGTCGCAGGGCAAACAAACCCCAGAAATCCAGAGTCACAGGTGAAATCAGCCTACCTGGATAAGAAGTCTCTGCAGCCATGAACTGGTAGGAACACCTCAATGGTAAGTGGGACAAACTGGTGGTGGTTGAAAGTGGACTAGCATGAGAGGGAGAAATGCCGGGACCACAACTTTCCAGGGTTGCAATCACACTAGGTTTTCAAGATCTGAGAAAGATCCCCTCCCTGGCTCAAGCAGAGAAGGGGAAGAGTGAGTAATCACTGTGAAATGCTCTCAGAGTATTCTCCATAACAAAGGCCTACACTGCAGGATGAAAGATTTTATCAGAGCCTTATCTTTCCTGGGGGAAGGGCATTTCTTCCACTCCAGCCCCTTTGCCTTCTGGTCTCACTTGAGGTCCAGGAAGGGAAAAGGAAGAATAAAGGAAGCAAAGCCCAGGGGAAACACTTGGAAGGTCACAGCCCAGAGTCCAGGTCCACTAAAACACTGATATTTAGTAATAAGATTATAAAACATTTCCCCTTCCTCCAAACTTTCACCATACCAACAGGGCTCTAAAAAAAAAAAAGAAATGCTAGAAATCAAAAGCACTCTAACAGATATGAAGAATGCTTTGATAGGCTCAGCAGTAGATGGATACTGCTGAGGAAAGAGTCAGTGAGTTGAAGATAGGTCAACAGAAACTTCTAGAAAGAGAAGGGAGCAACAGCATATTTAAAGTAATAATGACAAAGAACTTTGAGAACTTTGCAAAATTAATGACAAACACCAAACCACAGATACAGGAAGCCCAGAGAACGCCAACATGATAAATACCTAAAAGACTACATGTAGGCATATTATATTCAAACTGCAGTGAATCAAACATAAAGAGAAAATCATGGAAGCATGATGAGGTAGGGGGATAACAGGAAGGGAAAACACAGTATCAAAAAAGGAACAAGGATAAAAATTATAGTGGGCTTCTCATCTAAAACATGCAAGCAAAAAGAGAAGGAGTGAAATAGTTTAAACATTAGGAGAAAAGCCCACCAACCTAACATACCAATTTCCCACCCACCAAATTCCTAGGCATTCTATATCTAATAAAATTATCCTTCAAAAATGAAGAAAGAATAAAGACTTCCTCAGATAAGCAAAAACTGAGAGAACTTGTTGTGAGGAGATCTTCTCTGCAAGAAATGTTAAAAGTTCTTCAGGAAGAAGAAAAAATGATAGGGGTCAGTAAATTGTATCTATATTAATGAAAGAAAGAACACTGGATAAGGAATAAATGAAGGTAATATAACATTTTTATCCTTTTTTTTTTCTTTTTTCTTTTTTTGAGACAGGATTTCACTCTGTTACCAGGGCTGGAGTGCAGGTGCAATCCCAGCCCACTGCAGCCTCAAACTCCCGTGATCAAGTGATCCTCCCACCTCAGTCTTCTGAGTAGTTGGGACTACAGGAGCATACCACCACGGCCAGTTAATTTTTGTATTTTCTGTAGAGCTAGGTATTTGCCATGTTTCCCAGGCTAGTCTCAAACTCCTGGCTCAAGTGATCTGCTCACCTCAGCCTCCCAAAGTGCGAGGATTACAGGCATGAGCCATCATGCCTAGCTTTTAATTATTCCTAATTGATGTAAAAGATAACTGAATGTTTAAAAATAGCAGTAATGTGTTGGATGATTATAGCTTATGAATAAGTAAGATAAATGGGAGCAATATCACAAGGGAGAGGAGGGAGGAGCTGGTAATGCTATTGCAAGAAACCTGCAGTATACCTCAGTGATACAAAGTGTCATATGAAGGCAGATCAAGATAAGCAAAAGGTGAATGCTGGCATCTAGGGGAACCATTAAGTTTAATATGCTGCCAGGCGCGGTGGCTCATTCCTGAAATCTCAGCAATTTGGGAGGCCGAGGTGGGCAGATCACGAGGTCAGGAGATTGAGACCATCCTGGCCAACATGGTGAAACCCCATCTATACTAAAAATATAAAAATTAGCCAGGCGTGGTGGAGGGCGCCTATGGTCCCAGCTACTTGGGAGACTGAAGCAGGAGAATCGCTTGAACCCTGGAGGCAGAGGTTGCAGTGAGCCGAGATTGCCCCACTGCACTCCAGCCTGGGCAACAGAGCTAGACTCTGTCTCAAAAAAAAAAAAAAAGTTTAATATGCTAAGATAGGAGATTAAAAGAAATCATAGAAAATGCTGTTAAAACCTGAGAAGGCAAGAAAAGAAGGGAGGAAGAACAAAGAACAAATGCAACAAATAGAACACAGTTACAAACATGACAGATATTTATCCTACTAAATCAATAATCATTATAAATGTGAGTGGTCTAAATACACCAATTAAAGGATAGAGAATGTCAGAGGGGATTAAAAACTCAAATCCCATAGACAATATAGTATCTATATGAATGTAACTTTAAACATAAATAATCAGATAGGTTAAAGGTAAAGAGATGGAGAGAAATATACCATGCTAACTCTAATCAAAGGAAAGCTGGATTCTATTGACTTACCCTTGAAATAAAAAAGATTTTTAAAAAAAGCAGGATGCAGTAGCTAAATTAATTTTACAAGATGTAGTCTTTCGGATAAGAAAATAGTATCAGGGATAAAAAGAGGCATTATATACCGACAAAGGGATCATTTCTCCAAGAAGACATAACAATCCTTAACGTGTATAGGTCTAAAAGGAATATAAAAATATGTAGGGCAAAAACTGAACTGAAGGGAGAAAGAGACAAATTGATTATTGGAGTTTGAGACAGCACTCATACATTAATTGATAAATCAAGCATGCAGGAAATCAATACATATATAGTTTACCTGAACAGCACTGTCATTAAACTAGATCTACAGTTGACATTTATAGGATACTTGATCCAACAACAGCAGAATACACATTCTTCTCAAATTCACGTGAAACATTCACCAAGACAGACCACACTCTGTGCTATAAACACACCTTCACAAATTTAAAAGAACAGAAATCATACAAAGTATGCTCCCAGGTCAGAATGGAATTAAAAGAGAAATTTGGAAATTAAACAACACACTTCTAAATAAACATATGGTCCAAAGACTGGTCAAGAGAAACTGAAACACATTTTGAACTAAATGAAAATACAACTTATCAACATGCATAAAATGCAGCAAAAGCTGTTCTTTGAGGAAAAAATTTTCCTCACAGAACTAAATGTATACATTATAAAAGAAGAACGATCTAAGGATTAATAAACTACACTTCTACCTTAGGAAACTAGAAAAAGAAAAGTAGTTTGAGCTTAAAGAAAGCAGAAAAAAGAAATAATCAAAATTAGGGCAGAAATTATTGAAACTGAAAAAAACAGAGAAAATCAATAAAACCGAATGCTTGCTCTTGGAAATGATCAGTAAACTTAGTGTAAATCTCACTAACATATGACTGGTGTCTTGTTCGTTTTTTTGTGTTTTTTTTTTGTTTGTTTGTTTGTTTTGAGACAGGGTCTCAATCTGTAACCCATGCTGGAGTGCAGCGGTATGATCAGGGCTCAGTGTAGCCTCAACCTCCTGTACTTAGGTAATTCTCCTGTCTCGGCCTCCCTAGTACAAGGCTACAGGCATGCACAGCCACGCCTGGGTAATTTTTGTATTTTTTGTAGAGATGGAGTTTCGCCATGTTGCCCAGGATGTTCTCGCACTCCTGGACTCAAGCAATTCACCCGCCTCGGACTCACAAAATGCTGGAATTACAGGTGTGAGCCACCGCCCCAGGCCTGGTGTCCTGTTCTTACAGCTCCTAAGTTATCTTCTGATAAACCAAGCAGAGACCGGGCGAGGTGGCTCACACCTGTAATCCCAGCACTTTGTGAGGCTGAGGCGGGCGATCACCTGAGGTCAGGAGTTTGAGACCAGCCTGGCCAACATGGTGAAACCCTGTCTCTACTAAAAATACAAAAATTACCCAGGCATGGTGGCACACACCTGTAATCCCAGCTACTGGGGAGGCTGAGGCAGGAGAATTGCTTGAGCCCAGGAGGCGGAGGTTGCAGTGAGCCGAGATTGTGCCAATGCACTCTAGCCTGGCTGACAGAGCGAGACTCTGTCTCAAAAAAAAAACAAACAAACACAAAGCAGGTATCATACCACTTTTCTGATTTAAAACCTGTTGATTCCCTATTGTCTAAGAATAAATTAAAATACAATTTTCAGCATCATTTACCAGTAAGCCACCACCTCTTTCACTCTAAATTCTGCCACACTGAAAGTATCTCCCAGACTGTTAGGCCCTTTCAGTCCTCTATGTATTATGTATATTGTTTTCTCTGCTAATGATGCCCCCTCCTCTGCTTTTCCAAGTAGTCTAAAACTCAGCTCTAAGGTCACCTTCTCAGAGAAGTCTTCCCCAAATCTCCAGGCAAGTTTGTTGTTCAGCTTTTGGCCTACCATGAAACTTTAGTTATACAGTCATGCGTTGCTTAACGACAGGGATACACTCGAGAAGTGCACTGTTAGGCAATTTTGTCTTTGTGCAAACATCAGAAAGTGCACATACAAAAACCTAGATGGTTTAGCCTACTACAAACCTAGGCTATATGGTATAGCCTATTGCTCCTAGGTACAAACCTGTACAGCATGTTGCTGTACTGAATACTATAGGCAACTGTAACACAATGGTATTTGTATATCTAAACACAGAAAATGGCCTGTAATCCCAGCACTTTGGGAGTCCGAGGCGGGCAGATCATGAGGTCAGGAATTTGAGACCAGCCTGGCCAACATGGTGAAACCCCGTCTCTACTAAAAATACAAAAATTAGCCAGGCATGGTGGCACGCGCCTGTAGTCCCAGCTACTCAGGGGGCTGAGGCAGGAGAATCGCTTGAACCCAGGAGGTGGAAGTTGCAGTTAGCCGAGATCACGCCACTGCACTCCAGCCTGGGGTACCGAGCAAGACTCAAACACACACACACACACACACACACACACACACACACACACACAGAACATACAGTAAAAATACTGTAGAAAGATAAAAAATGGTACACCTGCACAGAGCACTAGTTATGAATGGAGCTTGCAAGACTGCAGTTGCTCTGGGTGAGTCAGTGAGTGAGCAGTGAATGAACGTGAAGGCCTAGGACATCTGAATACATTGTAGACTTTATAAACACTGTACACTGAGGTTACACTAAATTTATAACAAAATATGTTTCTTTCTCCAATAATAAATTAACTTCAGCTTACTGAAACTCTTACTTTATGAACTTTCAAACTTTCAAATTTTTAAAAAAACTTTTGGACTCTTAGAATAACACGTAGCTTAAAACACAAACACACTGTACAGTGGTACAAAAATGTTTTTTCTTTATATCATTATTCTATAAGCATTTTTATATTTTAATTTTGTTCTAAGTTTTAAAACATTTTTGTTAAAAAAGACACCAACACACATATTAGCCAAGGCTTGCACAGGGCCAAGATTATCAATATCACTGTCTTCCTCCTCCATATCTTGTCTCACTGGAAGGTCTTCAGGGACGATAACCCATATGGAGCTGTTATCTCCTATGATAACAATGCCTTCTTCTGAGTACCTCCTGAAGGACCTGCCTGAAGCTGTCTTACAGTTAGTTTTCTTTTTATAAGTGGGAGTATCCTCTAAAATAAAGATTAAAAGTATAGTATAGTAACTACATAAACCAGTAACATGGTAATTTATTATCATGTATTACATGATTTATATGCATGTGTTATATACTATACATAATTGTATGTGCTATACTTTCATACAACTGGCAGCATAGAAGGCTTGTTTACACCAGCATCACCATGAACACGTGAGTTGTGCTTTGTGCTACGGTATTACAACACTTATGACATCACTAGGTGACAAGAATTTCCCAGCCTCATTATAGTCTCTGGGAACACCATCATATATGCCGTCTGTTGTTCACCAACATATCATTATGTACTGCATGCCTGTAGTCTGTTACAGAATATTCATCATTAAGAGAGACAGTATAACATATTAGTTACACAGGCTTTGCAATTAATTGTATTACTAACTATTTAACCTCAAGTCAGATACGTTCTGTGTGTAAGATTCCTTATCTGGAAAAAAAGAATAATTATCAGAACCTAACTCATGGTGTTATTTGTAGAAATTAGGTAATTTATTACATGGAAAGCACTTAGATTAGTATTTGGCACAAGTGCTCAGTAAGAGAGGGCTATTATTACTGTTATTCTACCGTAATGTACATTTACCAGTAAATGGTTATTTATTCCCATTAGCAATAATTTTCTCAATAAAGAGAACCAAATCTTATTTAAGTTTGTATCCTTAGTTCATAGTAAGTGGTTGGTGAATAATAAATGTTAAAAAAAAAAAACTTACATAGAGTTATGTAACTGGTAAGTGACAGCACTAGATTTTCTGTTCAGATATTCTGAGTTCTGGGTGTGTATTTTACTGTTTCTCACAAAAACTTACATATTACAACATGAAAAAATGTTTAAGCTTACAATTTACGTATCCTAGTTCTCATCCTAAAGAAAGCTTTTGCAGGACATCTTACGTATCTCCTGATAAAAATTACATTAATCATTTGTTCTAAATTGAAAAGTTACCAACTTGCTTAGAGATAATTTCATGCTATTAAATTATCAATATCTTGCATCAAACTATAAATTCCTTGAAAGAAGGCTACGCTCTCCAAATCCTTTAACATATAGCTAAGTATCTGGTACATAGCAGAACTGAAGGAATATATGTATGATTGATTCTCATAACTTTAAGGAAAAGTACAAATTTTAAGGCTCTTTATTATCTAGCCCCTGCATAGGCCTGACGTTCTTCATGCCCTACTATTCTACTTTAACCACACCCGTCTACTGCAGGCCTCCTTGCTCTGCCTGCACGCACCCTGAGCCCTCTCCTGGGGGCTCTCCCCGTCTGGCTCTTCTACATCCAGATGATTATGAATCATCCTTTAAATCTGAGCTCAACTGTCCCTCTTCTAAGAAGCTTTCCAGCTTTCCTTTGTTGTTGTTTTTCTCATTCTGTTGCCCAGGCTGGAGTGCAGTTACATGATCAGGGCTCATTGCAGCCTCCATCTCCTGGGCTCAAACCATCATCCCACCTCAGACTCCCAGCTAATTGTTTTATTTTTTTATAGAGATGGGGTCTCACTATGTTGCCCAGGCTGGTCTCAAACTCCAGGCCTCAAGTGATCCTCCCACCTTGGCTTCCCAAAGAGTTGGAATTAAAGGTGTGAGCCACTGTGCCTGGCTGAAAGCATTCCTGAATCTCCCAGTCTGACAGATGCCTCACCGTCTTGGTTCCCATAGCATCCTGTGTACATCTTTATCATTGCATTTATCACATCATGTAACTGTTGTTTTGACTGTCTTTTTCAACACCAGACAATGTAAGATTATGGAAGGCAAAGGTCATATCCTATTCAACTTTTTTTTCCTGAATACCTGACATGGTACCTGACAAATAAGAAATGGACAAAAAAATGATTCATAAATGAGTAAACGGTGCTGAATAAGAGTTTAGAAGATAAATGATTTAGAGGCAGCTCAAGGACTAGTTAAGGTGATTTAAAATAGACCAAAGGGGGCAAATTTTTTCTTTAAATTTCTTATCTGTTTATTTTAAAACAAGAAAACTTAGAAGACAACTTTGTTTTTTATGGTTTGTTTAAAATCAATTACATAACTAACAAAAATGACCATTTTTGTTAAGATTGTTGGGTACCCCATAATGTACTTTTTAAAACATGTTCAGTTAAAACTGATATAAATTCAGAAAATAAGAACTATTTAAGAGAAGGCAGGGGCAGAAGGAAAAAAATTACTAACAGAGAGTTAGGTTTGGGTGGTAAACAGATGATGACAAAAGGCAATAAGCCAGAATCCTCCGCTGGAAATTCAAGCATCAACAACATACTGAGGACAAGGAACATCCCAAAGAGGAAAACAGCTCACTAGTGTCATAAGAAATCATGACTGAATGAGGCTGGAATGTATGTTAAGACCTAAAAGTGATCAAAGGAAAATGACAAATGCCAAAAGATTGTGCAGAATTACACTGGTAAAACCTCACAAATGAAAAAAATATGAATAAAGCAATGATATCAACAAAAATAATAATGGTAAAATAGATGTTGGCTTCTTCACAGATTAATTATACTATTGATTAATTAGAATGAGGAGTTTTATTGTTATTTTACATTTTTCACAAAATATCAAAATTTATACATCCAAATGAATTTTGCTCTTCCAATTAGTTATGTTGGAAAGCTATGTATACATAATGATGTTGACATGGTTCGAAATGCTTTAAAAAATTCCTCTCTACAAACTGCTTTAAGAGCATTTTGTAAGCTACATCTTAAAATCCGTATCATCATACATCACGTGTTACCAAAAATGGAATTTCCCAGTGTACTCATGTGCTTTAGTTTCAAAACTTCCTCAAAATATCTTCTGCCTGTTACTAAATGTCAAATCCATTTAAAAGATTGAAAATTCACCACTAATAACCAAAAGGCTGCACTGCACACTCTGTGTTTGCATCCCCACCTGTAATAGCATTGCTGAAATTTAATTCCTTAAGTGTCTACTATATATAAGGAACTAAGGGAATGCCGACTTCAGTTTTTACTCTGCCGATAATGTGGCTATATTCATTTTCCTAAAATTTCAAACAGATCAGAATACAACTTTCCTTAAAAGTGACAACAATGGCTGCAATGGACTAGAGACAAAACTTTTGCAAGGTATAAAAAGGCTGCTCAAAATCTGGTGGGTCCCTAATTTTGAAGCTGTATCTTCTGCCCTAGCCCTCCCCTCATCCCATGCTCATACCACATCACCTATCTGCTGTTCCCTGGACACACCATGCAATTTCAAACCCTTGATGCTTCTCCCAGATGGTCTTTGTTTGAAATAACAGATTTTTCTACTACATGGCTACCTATCATAGGTAGTTCATGACTGTATTTAATCTTAAAGCAATGTGAACACAGCTATATAGTAGTAACTTGATCATTGATTCAAAGAAATATTTATCAACTCACTCCCAACCCACCTGAATTTCTCTCTGTTCCAGCCACGACTAGCTCTACTTTCAGCAGCTTATATTCACTATGTTCTTGTCACCACAGCAATTGAAGACATCTGAAGACATTAATTTGAAAAGCAAATCTTTAAAAATGTTTAGAAGAAAATGCTGGAAAGTACAACCTCAGGTTAAGGAAGAAATGTCTTAAAATGAAACAAAACAAAAATTATACATACACACACACACACACACACAAAATTGGCCTTATCAAAATTAACTTCTGTACATCAAAATAAAAAAAAAGTAAACACAAGCTAGAAATTGGGAGAGAAATATTTGCAACATCTATAATGAACAAAAAAGCATTACATTCAAAATATGCGAAGAATGTCTTCAAGTCAATGAGAGAAAGGCAAACAACCCAATAGAAAAATGAACAAAAGACAAATAGGCATTTCACAGAAAAGGAAACATGAATGGCCACAAAAATATGAAAAGCTACACAACCTTGTTAGTCATAAATGAAATGCAAATTAACATAACAACGAGTTAACGTTTGTGTGAGGCAGAATAATGGCCCCTAAAGACGTCTCTACTACATCCTAATCTCTAGAACCTGTATGTTACATTATGTGGCCAAAAGGACTTTGCAAATGTGATTAAGTAAAGGGCCTTGCAATGGGGAGATTATTCTATATTGTTTGAGCAAGCTTGAAATAATCACAAAGAAGGAGTCAGGAGAGAGAAGGAGATGTGACCAGGAAGCAGAGGTTGGAGTGATATGGACATCAGCCAGGAATGAGGGTAGCCACTGGAAGATGAAAAAGGCAAGGAACAGATTCTCCCCTAGAGCGTCCAGAAAGAATGCAGCTCTATGAACACCTTGATTTTAGCCCTGCAAGACCAGTTTTGGACTTCTGACCTCCAAAATTGTAAGACACTAAGTTTGTAATGTTTCAAGTAAGAACATGGTCATTTGTTACAAGAGCAATAGGACATCAATATACTATTGTGTATCAAAAATCAAATGTGACAATACCAAATTAGTAAAGATGTGAACAAATGGGTTATAAATGTTAGTAACAGTGTTTATGGATTGGCATTATCTGGTTGGAATTATCTAGTAAAATTGACCATATACAGATCATACGAATCAGCAATTCCACTTAGGTACATGCCCTAAGGAAACTCACATATATGTAGAAGGAGACGTATAAAGTAACATCCATAAGCAACATTGATTAAATTGTAAAAACCTGAAAATAATAAAAGTGTTTGTCAATAAGGGAACCATACATATATATATATATATATATATATATATATATATATATATATATATATATATGTTTTTTTGGAGACAGAGTCTTGCTCTGTTACCCAGGCTGGAGTGCAGTGATAGGATCTCGGCTCACTGCAACCTCTGCCTCCTGGGTTCAAGCAATTCTCATGCCTCAGCCTCTCGAGTGGCTGGGATTACAGGCATGCACCACCATGCCCAGCTAATTTATTTATTTATTTTTTAGTAGAGAGGGGGTTTCGCCATGTTGACCAGGCTGGTCTTGAACTCCTGACCTTAAGTGATCCGCCCTCCTCGGCCTCCCAGATTGCTGGGATTACAGGTACGACCCACTGTGCCCAACCTGATGGTAAGTCTTACTGAGCTTCTTCAATTGTTTGTCACATATACACTCAATTGATGTTTTTCAATATAGCCTTATTCAAGATTTCTATTTAATAGCCTTGTTCAAGATTTGTAATTTTTTACCATACATACGCATCAATTGCTTAATATTACATCACATACTTTTATTTTAATCCTTCTATTTCAATCTGTGTATTATTCTCTTCATTCACAGACTGCATGGGAACATGAGACTCATTTGTGGTTATTTGATAGCAAATAACGTATCTCCCTGTGAATTATTTTCTTAAATCTAAAGAATAAGAAAAAAAACTACCCTTGCTTCACCTCAAATATACCATAAAGATAAACAAATAAAGCAATACAGTTATTTCTGAAAGTACTTTGCAAGAAAGACGGCCACATCTTGGGCAAATACTCTTCCTTTCACCAAATCTTTTTCTCTTTTCCTCAGCCTGTCAAATTACATTCCTTTTATTTTGAGGGCTGAATTCAAATGTCTTTGTTTTCCAGGAAACAACCTAATTGGCCTCTAACTAGAATATGATCGTTACAATCATTAAAAAAAAAAAAGATTGTTAAGCCAGGTGCAGTGGCTCACGCCTGTAATCCCAACACTTTGGGAGGGCGAGGCAAGCTGATGGCTTGAGCTCAGGAGTTCGAGACCAGCCCGGGAAACATAACAAGACCCCGCCTCTACTCAAAATACAAAAGAATAGCCAGGCATGTTGTTGTACATCTGAGGTCCCAGGTTGAGGTAAGAGGATCGCTTGATCCCAAGCGGTGCGTGAAGGATGCAGTGAGCTGAGATTGTGCCACTGTACTCCAGCCTGGGTGAGAGAACGAGACCCTGTCTCCAAAAAAAAAAAAAGATTATTAAGATCTATTATTAAGATCTACTTTTCTGTTTCTGTTTTAAAGTATGTACATTCGTATGGTCGTATTTATACTCAACTATAAGGACATGAGAAACATTATCTCATGCAATCTTCAAAACATTGTTAGTAAGTAGTATGAATGGGACTTGAAGTCATGCCTTTTGACAGCTCTTTGCTCTCTGTAAGAATGCCTGTTATGTCTGTGCTATCATCTCATATCCGCTCATCCCAAATTCACATATAATCCTCATCACCTAGAAAAACAAGCACTGAGTATCCACATCAAGGCTCTCAGTCAACAGCCAATATTCTAGTTTGGTCCCATTTGAGGCTATTTCTCGCCCTACCACAGGTATAATAAAAGCATGTTAGGATTTATGGAGAGTATCTCCAATAAGTGCACAGCTCCACCACCACTCCTTGAAGATGAATCTGGCGTGAGGTCAGTAATCTGTTTCTTTATATTCAACTTTTAGTGGCTAGCACAGTACCTGACACACTGAAGATGCTTAACGAATAGACGGATAAATGGATGGATAGAATGAAGCAGAGACTCTTCCTGCTGACACACCTAACTTATCTTTTCCACAAATTCCTCTATTCAAATTATTTTAAATTATATGTATATTATGTATATATAATCTGCTCTTTATGTATTTTTTAGGGATATATAAATGAAAAAGATTAGGAAACTTATGAAATTCCTAAACACACTTTAAAATAAAAGGTGATACTAATATGACTATCAGGGACACAAAAATTACTTGTCAGTGGATTTATACCCTTTGTTAATCAGAGTATTATTGTTTCACCTATATTTTTTTTTTTTTTGAGACACAGTGTCATTCTGTCACCCAGGATGGTATGCATGGCATGATCAGAGCTCACTGAAGCCTCGACCTCCTAGGCTCAAGTGATCCTCTCACCTCAGCCTCCTGAGTAGCTGGGACTACAGGTATGCACATGTGGCTCATTTTTTCAGTTTTTGTAGAGTTGGGGTCTCACTACGTTGCCCAGGTTGGTGTCAAACTCTGGGCTAGAGCGATCCTCCCACCTTGGACTCCCAAAGTGCTGGGATTATAGGCATGAGCCACCGTGCCTGGCCTCCCTTATAATTTTTGAATTAAATAGTCTACAAACGAAATATAAAAGTGTATTTATATTCTCATGGCTGGGGGAATACATTCTCACTAAAGGAGTTGAAGAGTGGAGGGGTAGACGAAAAGGAGAGCAAAAAACTATGTGTATCTGTCCTTCCACCATATCAAAATGTAAGAATGATTACTATCATTAGACATGTCCTAATTACATCATTTCTCTGTTGATCACATGTAGCCTATTTTAAAAAATGCCTTTGGGGAAGAATCAGAAGAGAAATGTTATTCTTATCAGTTAGCTTTTTAATATATTAGGTAAATCTATCTGAAACAGTGACAATATTTGAAATATGTGGCTTCTCTAATTTCTGGGGAAATAAGTAACTGAAGTGAATAATTCTCCAAGTGTAAATCAGTTTACCATATTTTTCTTGGTAAGTCTCATCATCTTCTTAGAAGGAAAGCAATGTCATAAAATATAAAATACTACCTTGAATAAACTGGCACAGAACCCCTCTGGCAGTGAGGAACTATTTCCTAGGCTTATTTATTTTTATAACATTCCATAATAAGACCTAATTCATATTATTTTGAAGAGCAATCTAAAAGAGTAATGCCTTTTATATCATTACTGAAGGATTAAGCATACCTAGCTGTTATTTTCATTCTACTTGTCTCCTTTTACATTTTACAATTAACACCTCAACTAGAGCTGGGGAAAAGGGAAAGACTATAAAACTGAAATCTTCTAGTTGAAATATTTGCTAGGAGGTTTAGCATTTGGAGGTTAAAATTAAGTTTCTCATCTACTTATTGTATTTCCAATATCTAGGCTTTTGAATTCAGTGGCTTAAACACAAAATACAAACTACATGAAATAAATGTTTCCATATAAAGACCTAACTACCCCTAAAAAGCAGACGTAACGTTCTATTTAATGATCAAAATAAAATATATATGTATGTTTGTGGTGTCTCAAAATTACATGCTAAAAATTACAATTTGAATTGAGAATATTTTTCAGGTAGGGAACAAAGAATGCAAAGACTTGGGACTCAAAAAGCTATAGATTACTTTTTAGTTTTTCTTTCTTTGTGAAATTACACAAAACAAAGTCATTCTATGGTCAAAACTGAGTCACGCCAAGACATTTAGTTGATTTTGGTTTATGCATATATTTATGTTCCTAGTAGAACATACACTAAGTCATTCAAAAATATTGAGAGCTATACCAGTGTTGATTACTTAAAATATTTCAACTTGTTTTTTAAAGCAACCTATTTCTAATGTGAAACTTATTATTGATCTAGGTTTTTTTTTAATATTCACTTGATTTTAATTTTTGACTGATTTAAAAATGTTCATACCATTTAATATACACTTAGAGTATATATACACTTGTACTCTCAGACTTCAGAGAAAAGAATAACTCATTTAATTTCAAATCCAGATGTCTCCTGAAAAGCAAAATCTAACACTTAAATAACATGGGAAAAAAGAGACCCTGAAGAAATTACATTTAATTACAATTAAAGAAATTGATCAAGAATTAACAATACATATATCTCAAGGATCATAATGGTTACTAGTTAAAAGTGTTAAACATAATTTAAATGTACTTAGGAAACATAACAGGTAACAATGATCACGAAACTTGAAAATTAAATTATATAATTTTTAGACTTTGAAAATAATCTTCTACCAAACCATGGTAATAAAATCAGTGGCAGAATGGTATAACAACAAACTGACCAAGGTAGAGGTGAGAAATCTCAGAGGCAGACCCATATATCTAATCAGAACCAAACATGTGATAATTGTCACAGAAAACGGTATATAACAATCATGTAAATGGTACTGAGAAACTAACTCACTAATTTTAGAATACAATTAAACTAGACTCCTCTCTAAAGTCACATACGGAGGTGCGTTCAAAATGGATTAAAGATCCAAGTATGAAAGGTAAACTATACAGCTAATAGAAGAACATACATATTCTTTGTTGTTGTTGTTGTTGTCTGAGGTGAAGTCTCACTCTGTCACCCAGGCTGGAATGCAATTGCATGATCTCAGCTCACTGCACCCTCCGCCTCCTGGGTTCAAGCAATTCTCCTGTCTCAGCCTCCTGAGTAGCTGGGATTACAGGCGTGCACCACCATGCCTGGCTAATTTTTTTTTGTATTTTTGTAGAGATGGGGATTCCACCATGTTGGCCAGGCTGGTCTTGAACTCCTGACCTCAAGTGATTCACCCGCCTTGGCCTCCCTAAGTGCTGGGATTACAGGAGTGAGCCACCACGCCTGGCAAATATATACATACATACATATACATATGTGTGTGTGTGTGTGTGTGTGTGTGTGTGTGTGTGTAAAATGAATCACGTAAGAACTCTAACAGGATAAATTCAAAATCACTTACCGTATATAAAAATAAAATGATGAATGTAATTACTTCAAAATTAAATATTTTGGCTTAGAAAGGAACACTGTAAGCCAACAAAAAAAGAGAGAACACAATAGAAGATATTTAAAATATCCAAAACTGACAAGAATTAGAATATAGAATTTACAAGTAATGCAACAAGAAAAATACAGCAATCCCACTGGAAAAAAGGCGAAAAATATGAACAAGGAATCTGGAAGGCCATTAAACACAGAGGTGTTAGAGGTGTTTTAATTTAATTAGTATTCAGAGCAATACAAATTGAAACAAAATGCCACGTTGCACCTAATAGATTAGCAACAATCAGAAAGCTGGAAAATGCTGTGTCCTTAGACATGTGGACAGAAACTACACACATGACTAGTGAGAAAATGAACTGGATCTAAAGGGCAATTTTGCATCGTTTGGAATCTTGCATTCCTCTTCTACATCTACACTCTGAAGAAATTCTCTCATTGGAAGCAATTTTTTGGAAGCTACTTAAGTGGTCCATCACTGAGCAAAAGAACAGGCAAACCAAAGTTGATATACAACTATATATAGTTATTTAAAAGTATACATTTCAGATCCATTTAAGTTGGACACGTCTTAGAAACATAGTGATGGGTAAAAAAAATTAAAAAATAAGATGAAATACATTACAATGTAACTTTTGGAAATTAAAAATACATGGACAGAAAGCAAACATTTTACATGGACACATATTAACAAAAGACAACATTAACTACTTTAAAATGGTTGTATCTGTCCTTCATTAAATTTATAGGTCTTTAATAATTACTTTGCAATACTTCTGAATTTAGTTCAACCCTAAAAATCACTGTTTTATATAAAAATATATTTACATTAACAACTAAAATTAAATACTTATATACCAACCAATTCATTTCTTAAGTTAGTCTCAAGTGAACCACATTTATTTGTTTATTTCTTCTTTTTTTTTTTCCTTTAATGGAATGCTTCACGAATTTGCATGTCATCCTTGTGCAGGAGCCATGCTAATCTTCTCTGTGCTGCGAATGTGAGCACAATTGAACCATGTTTAAATCAGATACATGTATTTTTTTCTAAAGTGATTCTTAGCTATTTATCATCAACACAGCCATTTTGGTCCTTTTAATCCTCTGACACAAAAAAAATTCCTTAAAATAAATTTCATCTGCTTAGCAAGTAACATGAAAAATATATGTATTTGTAGGAATATTTAGAGAGGGAAGGAAGGAAGGGAGGAAGGGAAGGAGGGAACTGGTTTTTCAATAGGTATTAGATATTAAATAAATTGCACAACATTTAATAGCAAAATAAGTCTGAGTCTCTTCCAGTCTTCAGACAAACCTACCCATGGTCTCCAACAACAAAAAGTCATGCTGGGAATACCAACATTGTTCTGGTAGTGTTCAATACCCTAGATTTGCCTCTAATAAAAATAGAGCAATTTCCTATTAGTATTTTGGAGTCATCACAACTTTGGCATAATCTCTCAGTCTTCTTATGAATATATGATGAAAATTATGGTACAGAATGATCACTTTTACACTATAATATTCTGAAACATTAATAATGTATAAAACATCAACCATTATGCTGAGTAGGTGCTTGGGATACAGTGGTACATATCAACAACCTGGAACATGTGGCATTTACACCATGTGCCAGGAAATGACAATTCATTTAAGATAGACATGATATCTGACCTCGTGGAGTTTAGAAACTGAGTGGTAGCAAAGATTATGAAGAATGATAAAGGCTATGCATGTTATACCAGGGAAACACAGGAAGGCTGGGGAAAAGTACATCAGGGAAACCTAATCTAGCTTCAGGGAGGTGGGGCTGTGGGGAAGAAGAGTGTTAGGAAAGAGAAGCACATTTTTAAAAGATCGTCAATTACAGAAGAAAACAAATGAATTTCACTGGCCTATCCTAAGACCATTCTAGCCAATCAGATTTTTGCAGCTTGGTTTCTGCCCATTGGCTTGTAATCAGTATTTCCAAGTGTAAAACACCAGCCATTCTTTCCTTGAATCATTTTAAGTCTAAGGGGACAGCATCAGTAATTAGCAGCTCAGGCTGGAGTTAATCCCTAAGGAACTCTCATTTCCTGCCTCTATGTCAGTTTTCGTCCAGGAAATATAGCCTTAATATCCATAGCCAAGTACAATGCTAGGTATTTTCACAAAAATTTATTCATTTATTTCCTACCACAAAATGGTATGCCTACTTTATACATTTAAAATATGGAAGCTCAGAGTTTAAGCAGCTTGCCAAAAAGATCCAACAACTAGCATTAGCTAAAATTTGAATTCAAGACATATAAGTCCAAATCCAGTACTCTTTTATTAAATGGAAGCTCTTTGTCTTTATGAAATACCTTTACTTATGAAAGCAATGGCAATTTTATTTTCTGGTTGTTCCTACCAAAGATAGTACTATTTGTTCTTCCTTAAAACATTTGGACAAAATGATCAAGTATTTTTGTCCCCAAGAATTAAAAAAGAAAAAACCCACAAAACCCATGTTTACTTTGTGTATCTTCCACCAAGGGTGTAACCAGATTGGTGACAAGAAATATGACTCATGAGCGGTATCTTGGCAAAGAATTCTTAGCATCTCTAGATACATCTGACACATAGGGGAAATGTTACATACATGTAACTACATTTTCTTTTCCTTTGAGGATCTCCCGCTATCTTTAATTCAAATCTGCCACAATCCTAACACATGCCTCAATATTAAATATAGAATAATATTCAGAATATTAAGGAAATCATTTCTTGGAAGAATTTTTCAAAGGCAAATACGAATAAAAAACTATTGTTGAGGTAGTCATGGTGGCTCGTGCCTGTAATCCCAGCACTTTGGAAGGCCAAGGCGAGAGGACTGTTTAAGCCCAGAAGTTCCAGATTATAGTAAACTATGATTGTGACTATTAGCAATTAAACACAGCAATGTATTATGTCATTTAATGAGTTATGAGCAATTCTTTTATTAATGAGAAAATGAGATAATAACTTTAGAAAAAAACTCCAATATCAAGAGTACTTAACTATTAACCTTATTCTTCTGTGAATAAAATAATATACTTTCATATTATTTTCCAAAATGATGACTTTTGATTTAAAAAAGATACTCAGGTTCCATAAAGTTTTTTTCTTGCATATCCACTAAAATGTAAATGCAAAATATTTCTGCTTTCATCTACTGTTCTTACCTTTTGCTAAATGAAGCTAAACTAAATAGCGGTGTGTTAGATCCAGCTTGTACCAGCTTATGAGAGCCGATGGCTAAATTTTCAGAAATTTTGGACATCCAGCTGTCAAACTACAAATAGCTTGGGACTAACCAAGGTGAGAATATTTGCAACACAGGAATCAGCAAACACTAAAAATTGGGGCTTTTTTTTTTTTTCTTGGCTAGCTGGTTGTTATAAAGCTTGTCAGTATATCAGCACTGTGCTTAGGCCACACTAGTGCTTCAGAAGCTTGTATTTTTTATCTTCTTTTCTTCTCTTCTTTACTTCTCTTTTCCTGTAAACACTGATTTTATGCTTTTATTTTTTCCCCAAAGGCCTTGCCTTGAAAATACTTAGACTACTTCAAAAAGTTCAGATATTGTGACTAACGATCTAAAGTAAAAATATTTTTTCACCAAAATATTCTCACAGAAAGTGTATCCCTGAATCTTGTCTGATTGGCCTGATTTATCGTATTCTACTACTTTAAAAGCAATGTCTCTATTTCTTGTCAGGGTGCTAAGAGCAAATTTTTATTCCCTCCAGTGAATATTGTGCTTGAAGCTTATACATGTATTCCTCATAAAACATAAATGCATAATATTATCCATACTAAAATGTGTGCAGTCTTTTGTCTGAGCAATATATTTTGTGCATGATATTACACATCTGCAGAGACCTTTTGCATTAAACTACGAATCGTTATGCAAAAATAGAAGACAAAATTGATTAGTTCCCTTTTACAGAAGAAGAAATAAAGACAGGTTGAAATTTCTGTAAAGGCAATGAAACTAAGAAACAATGTTTAAATAGTCTCAATATGTGATTAAAAAAAATTCTGGTTTGATTCACAAAAATGCTGCATTACAGGGACAAGCAATAGACTAGCAAGAATAGGCGGCAGCAAAAAAGTTCTGGTGTCAGGCAGATATGAATTTCAAATTCTGTTCCTATGAATTTCAAATTCTGTTCCTCCATTCACTATCTATGTGACGTCAGGAAAAGTAAATCAAACTACCCTAAGCTACATTTTCCTTAATAGTAAATGGAGATGAGTATGATACTGGCTTTATAATGTTGTAAGAAAAGAGAGTCAGAATATATGTGATATGACTACCACATGGAAGGCAATCAATGTTTAGTTATGACATGATTAGAATTGGTCACTGCAAAACCAACCAATGACTGAATTGGAATTAAGAAAAAAAATTAATCATTTCAATAAAAAAAGAGTATGTTCCAAATTCTTATAGCCAGTATATGATAAATATGGTGGGGATTGCAGCTCAAGATCCATCGTACCTTGCTCCTGTAATGGGCTTTCATGTATTACAGAGGCTATAAAACAAAATAAGCAAGGTTTCCACAGACTCCTATGCAAATAGGTTCTTGTTGCAATTTAGGTTCAGCCAATCAAACTTACTTGCCCCAGCTTTTTTTTATTTTTTTTTAACTAGTGTCTCACTGTAACTCAGGCTGGAGTACAGTGGCACGACCATGGCTCACTTCATCCTCAATCTTCCAGACTCAGGCAATCCTCCTGCCTCAGCCTCCTGAGTAGCTGGTACTACAGGTACACATCAACATGCCCAGCTAATTTTTGTATTTTTTGTAGAGACAGAGTTTCACTATGTTGCCCAGGCTGGTCTTGAACTCCTGAGCTCAAGATATCCACCTGCCTTGGCCTCCCAAAGTGCTGGGATTACAGGTGTGAGCCACCACACGTGGCCTTGCCCAAGCTTTGAAAAGGAGAAGTGAAGCAGAGACCACACTGTCAATGATATACATACATTTTTTACCTGCAGTGTTGGACAGAGATCCTAGTACCCAGTAATTATCCTGCTGGCTGCTGGGAGGCAGTGCATGTCACATCTATTTGCCTGGTCATAATAGTTACAGTATGACTGGAGCAAGCAGCAGTAGAGGCAGCTTTCTGCCTCTGAACTGTGTGTGGCACTGAACTGTGTGTTCTAGAGCCGGGGTTGAGAAATTTCTCAGTTAAGGGTCAGATAGCAAATATTTTGCCATGCGGTTTCTGTTACAACCTTAACACTGCCACTGTAGCGTGAAAGCAGCCATATATAATAGGTAAGTGAGCATGTATTGCTGTGTTCAAATAAATACTGACATTTGAATTTCACATTTTTTTCATTTTTAATTGGAGAAAGTATTTTGTTATGTTGTCCAGGATGGTCTCAAATGCCTGGCCTAAAGCAATCCTCCTCCCACTTTGGGTTCCCAAGTAGCTGGGACTACACTACAGGTGCCTACCACTGTGCCCATTGTGAATTTATTAATTTTAAGTGCCACAAAACATTATTTTTCTTTTGATTTTTTCAAATATTTAAAAATATAACAACCATTCTTAGTTTGTAAGACATAGACAAGCAGGTGATAGGCCAGACTTTGCCCGCAGGCCATAGTTTGCCACCCTACAACAGTCTCCTGATCCACACAGACAGCCGCAGCTCCCTTAGAAACCAGTGTTGAGGTATACCACTGGGAGATGTTTTTAAAGTTTAACCATGAGCCCAAAATCTGTTTCGTCTGCCCTTTCCTCTCTTCCATGATTTTGTAAGCCACTAATGCCATGTAATAAGTATTTTCCTGCGTAAACTGCTAGACCAAATTTTATTCTCTGCAACTAAATCCTGACTGATTCATAGTGCTACATATATATAAGCACTTTTTATTTTCAACCAAAAAAAAAGAAACCCTTATTATCTTTCAGGTGTACACCATAAAATATTCATTTACAAATTAATTTTAATGCATTAAAAATATGAGTTTACAACTAAAAAACTATACACAACAGAATGCCATTTTAAGAATACACTATTAAATTGAAATTTATTTCAAACTAGGAGCATAAACCACCTAATCCACAAGAATCTACAGATTCCGCAGAACACCATGATAAATATAAGAAAATGCCTAAATAATAATTTGAAAGTATTTATTATGTTTGAACCACAAAAATAAAAAATTATATAATGGGAAAGAAAATCTGTTTACCTCCTTTCAGTGATTAGGGAACCTGCATTAGATTACAGAATGAAAAAGGAGAAAACAGGAGAACTCAAAGGACATTTTGCTTATGGAAACTCTACTTTTTGTTTTTAGGGAAGCATAACTACATCTCCAAAGTCTATGATGGCTCTAGAGTATCTTAAGTGGCAACTGCATAATCTTTGAGCACTACATTCATTTCTCTCCAGGCATTGAAAAGTCAAATTGGGACAGACCTTCAGTTCACATCAGTAATAGTAGAACTAATCCTTCTTGGAAGGTACAGCACAGAATAACCCTGCAAACAGAAATTGTCTAAAGGTAATTTAGAAAAATGGCCTTCAATTTTTTTTTTTTTTTTTTGCATGCAATCCCTAACATAAGTCAGAATCTTTACTATTTTTAGGTTGATATCTAATACTTTTCAACCTAAGTTTAAAGAGTTACAAAGGATGGCATTATAAGCATTGACAGTTTTAAATAAAATAATTTATCATGTTTTGGAATGTATCCATGGGATCTAAACATAGCGTCACAATCAACATCCTCCATTACATATATATATATTTTTAAGTTATTCTTTAACTGTCAGAAATTTAAACTTATTCTGAATCAAAATTCAGGCTTTATGTAATCTCTTATAAAGTGTGCATGTGTGTGCGTGCATGTGTGTAAGAATCTCCAAAAAAAAAGGACTCTAAAAAAAAGTATTAGGGCTAAATACTTTTTAAAGTATTTTAAAGGTTTTAAAATACTTTTTAAAAAGTAACCATCATTTTGTTAATATCAAATATCCAATGTTCAAAATCTCATAAATGTCATGGTTGATTTTTATAGATATTTCCTATGCATCAGGTTCAAAATAAAGACCACTTATTGCTATTGGCTGATAATGTCTCTTAAGCCTCTCATATAGATCTCCCAGTTTATACTGGGCACAGGAACTCTGTGTTGCCTATTGTTTGCTGAATAATTTATTCAACAAATATTTATTAAGCAACCACTATGTGTCCAGCAATGTTTTAGATGCTAAGAATGTAGAGGAAGAACAGAAGCCTGCTAAAGTCTGTGTCCTTTTGGAGTTTAGATTCTCATGAGACAGAGAATAAAATAAACAAAGAAATCAATTATGTCTGATGGTTATGAAAATAATTCAGTAAGCTTTGGAAATAGAATGTTCCCAGGGTTGCTGTTTCAGTATGCATAGTCAAGGAATGTTTCTCTGAGAAGTTCACAGCAGAACAGAAACCTGAATGAATGAGGGAGCAATCCCTAAGAATTTCTAGGGGAATAAAATTCCAGGCTAAGGAACAAGTAAAACCAAATGGCTTGAAGTGAGATTGTGCTTCACATGGCTGAACAACTGTAATGAAACCAGTAGAGTTGGGGAGCAGAATTAGAGAAGGGGAGAGTGTTAAGCTCTCAAATGTCTGCATTGTGATTCAGTGTTTACTTCTCTTCAGCTGCTTTCCATCAACTGAGACCAAGGAGATGGCTCTATATACTACCTCCTCTATTCTGCTGCTTCTTGCCACTCTTTTCTGCAAAAAAAAGGTACATCTGTGTCTTTCCCTGCAGCTTCGCCCTGCCTGAGACTTTGTAGTCCCCTTGCTACCTACCATGGGAGACTCTGTGCTGTGTTTAAAATCTATAGATATTTGCATACTTCCCAATTTGCTTCAAGGTTCACAATGTTTGGCAGCTCTTCTCATAATCTGAGGTTTGGGATTACTGTTTTCTCCTCACTTCACTTAAGTTAAAAGATTTCTTCCCTATTCTTTATTCTTTTTGTTATGTTCAGTTAGCATTAGGCAGAAGAATAGAATACAAATGTTTTTACTCAGCCATTTTGAATGGAATCCTTTTCCTCACCTACTGATGATAAATTTAGAGTAGGTACACCTACAGAACTTAAATTTCTCAATCTCTACATTTTTTATTTCAATATCTAGATTTTCCTATTTGAAAATCTGAGAAATTCTAGACTACCAACATCTACAGACTTACAACTATTGTTTAAAAAATAGGCTGGGCACGGGGGCTCACGCCTGTAATTCCAAAACTTTGGGAGGCTGAGGCAGGTAGATCATAAGGTCAGGAGTTCAAAACCAGCCTGGCCAAGATGGTGAAACCTCGTCTCTACTAATAATACAAGAAAAAAATTAGCCAGATGTGGTGGCCAGCGCCTGTAATCCCAGCTACTCAGGAGGCTGAGGCAGAGAATTTCTTGAACCCAGGAGGCAGAGGTTGCAATGAGCCGAGGCTGCGCCATTGCACTCCAGCCTGGGCGACAGAGCAAGACTCCGTCTCAAAAAAAAAAAAAATTAGAAAAAGGTAATTTAGCACAGAATCAACTTTAAATGTACATTAAAGACTCTATAAGGAATATAAACTTAGAAACTATAGTAAATTTCTACCATGATCCTTATATTCAAACTAAGGAATAACAAAAGGCAAATAAATGTCCATATTCAAACGGATATGCAATGAAGAGAGAATAAGCAAAATATCAAAACAATATATGTTAAATAAATACAGCATTATTACTTTTGAGAACATAAACTCTGGTTATGTTGATAAAAGCTTACTCTGTTTTCTACTTTAAATAACGGTCAAATTGTCATGTACTTATGTATAAGTGATTTGCATGAAAAGTATTCTGAATCATCTAAGAGTACTTTTTAAAAAGTCAGCTCTTGGCCAGGTGCAGGGGCTCATGCCTGTAATCTCGGCACTTTGGGAGGCTAAGGTGGGCAGATCACTTGAGGTCAGGAGTTTGAGACCATCCTGGCCAACACGGTGAAACCCCATCTCTACTAAAAATTAGGCTGGGCGTGGTGGCTCATGCCTGTAGTCCTAGCACTCTGGGAGGGCGAGGCAGGTGGATCACCTGAGGTCAGGAGTTCGAGAGCAGCCTGGCCAACATAGTGAAACCCTGTCTCTACTAAAAATACAAAAATTAGCCGGGCATGGGGCACACGCCTGTATTCCCAGCTACTCAGGAGGCTGAGACAAGAGAATTGCTTCAACCCAGGAGGCAGAGGATGCAGCGAGCCGAGACTGCGTCACCGCACTCCGGCCTGGGTGACAAAGCGAGACTCAGTCTGAAAAAAAAAAAAAAATTAGCCGGTTGTAGTGGCACACACCTGTAATTCCAGTTATTCAGGAGGCTGAAGCATAAGAATCACTTGAACCTGGGGGGAGGAGATTGCAGTGAGCCAAAATTGCACCACGGCACTCCAGGCTGGGCAACAGAGTGAGACTGTCTCAAAAAAAAAAAAAAAAAAAGTCAGCTTTTTCAAATAGGTAAATATTTTTCTCATAATTGATTAATAAGTTACTAATAAGTAACTTATTAAACTCTCTCTTCAGAAATGTAAAACTCAGGTTAGCTTTTATTAAACTTTAAAAACACTGGCTTAGTGACCTCACATGGTTATAAAGCAAGAGTTCAAAAATTGTATATGTTAACATTTACTTTCTTATTCATTTAATAACACTTGTTACATGCAAGTACTCTGCTAGTAACTAGTGATGGAAAGATAAATCAATCACACTCTACCCTCTAGGGGCTCATGGTTAAGTGAAAAAACATAATAGAAGCAATGTGATAAGTATTATAATGAATAATAAAAAATAAAGTGCTATGGAGAACACAGGGAAAAGGCAGTTAACTATCAATAGAGAAAGTAACATCTGAACTAAGCCTTAGAAATTGAAGACAAGTTCATTCAGCTGACAATGGACTAGAACTTATTTCTAGCAAATAAACTGTGTACACAGACAAGAAAGCACAAGATACGCTGCTGGGTTGGCCAAGTAGTTCTGCATAGTTGGAACAAAGGGTGAATATGGAGAAAAGCTGGAGATGAGGCTTGCAGAGAAAAGCCAGTCACAGGAAGAGCCTAAAAGGCCTTACATGTTAGACTAACAATAAACTGTTAAGTAGGAGGGTTATATATGTAGAGAAAATATTTCTAAATATAGTGTGATATGTGGGATAGATGTATCTTAATGATGCTTTCAGCGATAAAGGCAGTGCCAGTAGAGGTAAGGGTGGGGCACAGTGGTATGAGAGATTACAAGTAATGCCACTGACAAAGGATTAACAATCTAGGAAGTAGATATCTTTCAGGATCAAAAGAAAAAGAGATCAAGAGGACTCAGAATTCCAGGTTGGGTGATACGAACAATGGTAGTGCCATTAATTAAGCTGGAAATAAATTGAAGGAATACAAATTAGTGCAAAAGATAAAAAGAGACAAATTGGAACATGGCGAAATAAAAGGATGAAAGAGGCTGGGCGCAGTGGCTCACACCTGTAATCCCAGCACTTTGGGAGGCCGAGGGGGACGGATCACGAGGTCAAGAGATGGAGACCATCCTGGCCAACATGGTGAAACCCCGTCTCTACTAAAAATACAAAAATTAGCTGGGTGTGGTGGTGGGTGCCTGTAATCCCAGCTACTCAGGAGGCTGAGGCAGGAGAATCGCTTGAACCGGGGAGGCAGAGGTTGCAGTGAGCCGAGATTGTGCCACTACACTCCAGCCTGGCAACAGAGCGACACTACATCTCAAAAAATAAAGTAAAATAAAAAATAAAAAGGTGAAAGAAAATGTAAAGCAAAAAAATCCCAGGACATGAGTTCAAGAGAGGAAAATCAGATGTATGCCCCTAAATAACACATCCAACACAAGAAATAGTATACCAAGTAACAAGCAGAGACCCTCAATTTCAAGGAATGTGAGGTTGTTTTCTATTTTTCCAAGTAGAAAAAACTATATAAGCATATTTATAAAACTAAAAAAGCATTTTTAGCCATTAAGAATTTTTTTTGAAATTTAATATATGCATGGGGTTTAAAAGACCATACTGAAAAGAATACACAGTAAAAGTAAATATCCCACTACAGGGCTCCAGTTTCCCTCCCTAGCACTGTCATCACTAATTTCTTGAATATCTTTTAAAATATGTTAAATATGTGTAAGCATATAGGTGTACATATAACATATATCCTCCTTTAAATAGCCTATTAGAAACAGTTCTCAAGATACATTTTCTATTTCCTAAATATGATAGTACAGTAATCAAATTTATAATGGTAGCTCTATAAATCAAGTCAATATAAAAAGTCCTGTCTACACATAATTAACAGTCTTTGTTTATCAATAAATCCAGTGATAGTAAAGATTAAAAACAAAAACCCACAATTTTTCTTCCCAGAGACTGACCTTTAGGGAATTCCTTGGGTAACAGGTTCTGAATGTGTGAGCACAATAGGGCCCATTCGCTTGAAGGTATTTTACTCAAAACTTGAAATCTGGGCTCCAGCTAGAAAGAGGGGGAAAAAGGTTATGAATTAATCTCTAATTCAGAATATTTTCCTCAACACAGGTAGCCCAGGTCCACTAACTATCTCATACATGAGGACTTTTCAACCTTGGTTGGATACTGGAATCAACTAAGAAGCTTTTTAAAAAATGCTCTGATGCCCGGAAGCCACACTCTGTTCAAATTAAGTCTCTGGGGCTAGAGCCTGGGCAGTGTTTTTATGGGTTTCCCAACTGATTCTAATGTGCATCCGGGGTTGAGAACCACTGCCACAGAAATATAAAATCATATGGTATGGAGGTCACCTATAAACTTTTCAGCTTGTTGCTAAATAACGTATGAGTATGGAAAATGCACTTTTTTTATTTTATTATTTTATTTTATTTTTTGAGACACAGTTTCACTCTTGTCACCCAGGCTGGAGTGCAATGGCCTGATCTTGGCTTACTGCAATCTCCACCTCCCAAATTCAAGTGATTTTCCTGCCTCAGCCTCCCGAGTAGCTGGGATTACAGGTGTACGCCACCATGCCTGGCTAATTTTTACATTTAGTAGAGACAGAGTTTCACTATGTTGGCCAGGCTGGTCTTGAACTCCTCCTGACCTCAGGTGATCTGCCCGCCTCGGTCTCCCAAAGGGGAAATGCACTTTTAAGATACTTGGGCAAAGGTGGCTCTAAATAACCAGAGTGTTCCTAACGCAGGACAAAGTGACGCTGGAGAGCCCACAACACAGGACTCAATAGGTATTCACCTCACATTTTCTGAACAAGCTTAAAATCCCAGGACAAACCTATTCTGGATATTTCATTATGAAAGAAACAGGATCAAATATTGAAAATCGCCTTTAAATCTTCCTGAATTACAAAGAAGTTACATATTTAGAGATAACAACTATTAAAATTTAACTGAAAAGCAAGATACAATTAACTACTGCTTGACTGCAAAAATCAAAAGTGAAATAAACAAATTAAATTCCTAACAATGACATTCACAAAACCTCTTTTATAGGGATTATAACCTATGGCATATGAAAGAGCCTAAGCTGGCAGCCACTACCTACATGTGGCTATTTAATCTTAAATACAAATTAATTTAAATATATGAAGTAAAAAATCTAGTTCCTCAGTTGCAGACACTTTTGAAGTGCTCAACAGCTATTATGTGTCTAGTGACTACTGTATTAGACAGAGCCAATATAAAACATTTTAATTGTCACAGAAAGTTACATTGGACAATGCTGGCTTGGGGGTAAATGAAGCCCCAAAACTTCATATTAAATTTGTAAACATACATATATTCTAGAGAGATGACCTATGACTTTTATTTGATTGTCAAAGGAGATCATGTTCAATTGCCACACCAGTGATTCAAGTGCCAGTGCCCAAGCCCGCAGAAAGTAGAAAAGAGTTTTTTTGTTTGTTTCGTCCCCAAATAGTTACCTCTTTTAAAAAAGCATATCATATCAACAGTAGCACTTCCCACTCACGGATACAGTCTTTCAACCATTGCATGAAGATGACTGGACTACTATTAGCACAAAATGGTCTTCCCACCTCCCTGATGTTGTTATGGTCCTGGGGCTTCACTGCTTTTTCAGAAGAGAAAAAGTAATAGTAAATCATAACCAGAAAAATAGACCTCCTTTGCTTTATTCATCATCTCCAACTTCATTAGCTATTGGTATATCCAAGATTATTTACCTGTCTTTTAACCCCAAATTCCAGCTTTTTGTGGCAAAGGGAATCACAACAAAATGGAAAGTGAATTCTGCATCCCTCAGAAAAAAACACAAACAACAACCTTCCATCTGTAGGATGCTGTTCCTAAGAAGAATTCCAAGGATACTTGGCTACTAACCTAAGATTTAACACCTAAGTTATCATCAAAAACTAACACAAAACAAAGATACGATCTCACAGGTGAGCTTCCCTTATGGATAAACAGTCTGGGTTTAGCTTCCATACTGAAAAGGTCTGGGTTTGGCATTGAAACAAAGTCTTCTAAAGAGACATCATGGTGTGATGAGTATAGAGTATATCCAGCTATACCCAATTTCTAGGATACGATCAACTGTCTAATTGATTTAAAAACTTAGCAACTCCATCTCTAATCCTTTGCTCCTAATACATACCTTTTTAAAAAGGCAACCTCCTTGAAATGTTTGACTGCATCTTAACTAATTCAAACAAAAATTACTTAAAAAATGAGTATGCCTTTTATCTGCAAAGAAAAAATATATCCAAGCCAAAAGACCACACAAGAATATGAAAAAAGTAAAAGGCAAAATAGACCCTCAGTGTAAGACAAGACCAAAGCCTGTCTTATAAATTAGGTGAGCTTGCTGCGTGAACTATAACGTCTGAGTTCAAAAACATCCCATGATTCAAATGTTATTAAACTAAGTGTATTTTAAGTCAATAAACTAAACGTTTGGCATTTTCTTATCAAATTAAACATTTATTTATTATGTACTCATGATAAATTGCAATCCCATTCCTAAGTATTTACCATAAAACAGGGGTTAGCAAATTACAGCCATGTACCAAAATCTAGCCCACACGTTTTTGTAAATAAAGTTTTATTGGAACACATCCACATTCATTTACTTACGTATTGTCTATGACTCCTTTCACACTACAACAGCAGAGTACCCACAACAGAGACCCTAAAGCATAAAATACTTCATCCAGTCCTCTACAGAAAAAGTTTTCTGACCCTGGCACTAAAGAAATAAAAACTGGGCCAAGTGTGGTGAGTCACACCTATAATCCCAACACTTTGAAAAGCTGAGGCGTGAGGATCACTTAAGGCCTGGAGTTCAAGACCAGCCTGGGCAACACAGTGAGATCCCATCTCCACAAAAAAAAATTAAAAATTAAAAACAAAAAATTAGCCAGATGTGGTGGCGTGCTTGTAGTCCTAGCTGCTCAAGAAGCTGAGACAGGAGGACTGCTTGAGCCCAGGAGGCAGAGGCTACATGCAATGTGACTGTGCCACTGTACTCTAGCCTGGGTGACAAAGCCAAGACCCTGTTTCAAAAAATAAAGAAGAAAGAAAAAGAAATGAAATGAAAACTTACATTCACACAAAACTTACACACAAAAGTTTATAGTACCTCTATTCATTATGGCCAAAGAATGGAAACAACCCAAATGTCCTTCAGCAAGTGAATAGACACACAAACTATGGTGCACCCATACAACTCAACAAAAGTAAAATAATTTTTTTTTTGAGTCAGGATCTTGCTCAATCTCCCAGGCTGGAGTTCAGTGGTACAATCATAGCTCACTGCACCCTCGAACTACTGGACTCAAGCAATCCTCTTGCCTTAGCCTCCCGAGTATCTGGGATTACAGACACAACACCACAACCAGCTAATTTTTAAATTTTTTTCATAAAGGTGGGGTCTCATTATGATGCCCAGGCTGGTCTCAAACTCCTGGCCTCAAGCGATCCTCCAAAAGTGCTGAGATTACAGTCATGAGCCACTGCATCCAGATTGTGAATGAATTATTGTTACATATAAAAACTTGGATTATTCTCAAAGGCATTATGCTGAGTCAAATGAACCAGTCTCAAAAGATTACAAATGTAATTCCATTTATATGGTGTTCTTGAAAAAAACTATTTTGATGAAGACAGATTGGTGGTTGCCAGGGGTTAGAGGTGAGAGAGACTGTGACTATAAAGGAACAGAACAAGGAAGTTTTTTGGGTGATAAAATTGTCCTGTATCCTCACTGTGGTAGCAGTTACACTTATCTGCACATGTATCAAAACCCATAAAGCTATATACCACAAAAAGGTGAATTTTACTTTGTAATAATCTAAAAAACAAAAACTTTTGAAAACAGCATGATAGTTTCTGTGTTTATTTGTGCTGTGATAACAGAATACATGAAACTGGGTAGTTTACAAATAATAGAAATGTATTTCCTCATGGATCTGTAGGCTGAGAAATCTAAGATCAAGGCAATGGCCGGTTCACTTGTCTGGTGAGGGCTGCTCTCTGCTTCCAAGATGATGCCTTGTTGCTGCATCCTCTGGAGGGGAGGAGCGTGTGTCCTCACATGGCAGAAGGCGAAAGGGCAAGAAACCTAATGCATAAAGGCTCGTTTAGAAGGGTCTTAATCCCATTGATAAGAAAGCAGCCTTCATGGTCTAATCATGTTCTAAAGGCTCTACCTCTTAATGCCATCTGCTATGGTTTGAAAATTTCTCCTCTCCAAAACTCACGTTGAAATTTAATGCTCCAATGTGGCAGTAATTAGAGGTGGGGCCTTTGACTGGTTCATGAGGAATCTGCTCTCACGAAGGGACTAATCCATTCATGGATTAAGGTCCTCGTGGGGATCAGCTGGTGGCTTTCTGAGACAAGAAAGAGAGACCTGAGTTAGCATGTGATGTCCCCTACCACCTCAGGACTCTGTAGAGAGTCCCTTCCAGCAAGCAGGCCCCCACCAGAGGGAGTTTCTTGATCTTGGACTTTTCAGTCTCCATAAGCATAAGAAATAAATTCCTTTTCTTTTCAAATTACCCAGTTTCAGGTATTCTGTTTTAAGCAACAGAAAACAGACTAAGACACCATCACAATGGCCATTACATTTCAACACCTGCATATTGGAGGGGACAATATTTAAATCATAGTAGATAGTTTAAAGAAAAACAATAAGATAACAAGGAAACAAGCTCTAAAAATTTAGAGCAAATAATATGAGATTTTTCCAGGGAAGATGAGATCCGAAAGTGTTGTCTGGGTTACTATACTCTTGGGTTTCAGTCCTGGCTTTATAATCCATTCACAACGGAACATTAAATCAATAACCCATCTCAGTATTTCCCTGTGATTTTTCTGCACGCAGTCTGGCAGGTTGATATCTGAGGGTGAATATAAAGTCCTGAATGCAATATTTCCCCTGTCAAATATGACATACTGCATGAAGAAATACTGCAATTCAAGTTATCTCAGAATACCTCCATTCTACTCTCCAGATTAGCCATAAATACAAAGGCATGGCTTATATCACAGTTGTCAGCCCTTTTCACACACTCAAGTTTTCTCACTCTGCTGCTCTCAAAGCTCTTTCCCACCTCCAAGTTCTTAGGAAAATCTGGCATTATATTCCATACACACACTGAAATACTGTGCCACATATGTTTTTGCACTATACATGGTCTGCAATTTTCTTTAGGGAAACCAGATTTGCAGACTGCCCATGAGAAATCTGTAAACTGTCACCTGGAATTAATCAAAAGGTAAATTTAGTAAATACAAAATCATTATCACAGAAAACAAGAGGTAGAATTCAGTGCTTTCACAGAATCAACAATAAAAACAATTTATAAATGGGTTATATATTTTGTAAATCCAATAAAATAGTTTTTTTAAAACCCAATATGAAAAACTGGCATACGATTAAAATCTCTGGACCAGACTAAAAACATTCAGACTAATTGCTTCCATTGTGCATAATTAACAGACCATGTCTCAAGTTAAACTCTAAAAGAGGAAGAACTCAGGAGTGACCACTAATCTTCTGTAAACCATTTTTACATGGTCATCAAAGAGAAGAAACTTTTTAGAAGGGCAAAATAGAATTTTCACCATGACAAAAAGTACATCCCAAAGTCCCTAGCATTTTGTGGTGATTTTAAATGTTAGCAAGTTCTTTGATATTCCTACTTTTAAAAGGAAAAGCCTTTTTCTCCATACCCTTTGAATGGGACTCACTTTCGACAAGTAAAATGTTGGGAGTGATACTATGTGACTTATAAGACTAGGTCATAAAAAGGATTCAAACTGTAGCTCTGCCATTAATACTAATTCCTCTTTCAGACTTATTGTCAGGATTGGAGATAGCATATGTAAAGTCTTTGACTTAGTGCCAGAATATTAGAAGCCTAACAAATAGCTTCTAACCAAGCACTTGTAGTCCTTAAAGTCTCCCTCAAGATGTGTATTATTAGGATTTAAGAATGAAAAGAGTAAATTATGTTGTTGAATGAAGGAAAGTCACAAAGTGCTAAAATCAAATCACGAAGAATATAAGGACTTTTAGAAAAAATTATTTCTATTAAGGTTGAGTCAAATGAAATTGCCATTTTTGTTAGGTCAGAAAAAAGAGAGTATCAGTAATTTTTACAGTTCAATCTAATACATGTGGAATAAATGTTTTCCCTTTGATATTATCAAACACATTATCACATATTTCAAATAAATGGAAAACCTCAGGGAATATATAATCTAAATGTAAAAATTTACAATATTTTCCATAGCAGAGCATATATGAAGGGAGTTTGTTTGCGTCAAACAAACAAAAAGGGAGTTTGTTGCTTCTCACTCTATGGCACAGGCTGGAATGCAGTAGCGCAATCTCAGCTCACTGTAACCTCTGCCTCCCAGGTTCAAGCAGTCCTTCCACTTCAGCCTCCTGTGTAGCTGCAAGTACAGGCCTGCACCACCATGCCTGGCTAATTTTTGTATTTTTGGTAGAGATCAGGTTTCTCCATGTAACCCAGGCTGGTCTCAAACTCCTGGTTTCAAGTAATCCGCCTGCCTCATCCTCCCAAAGTGCTGGGGTTACAGGTGTGAGCCACTGTGCCCAGTCCTATAATACTGTTTTAATTCATTCTCCTAGTCATTAGACTTCAAAAATATTTCAAACCAAACCTCACCTTAGAGTTTCATCATTTAAAAAATTAACCTTCTTTGAAGGTAGCCAAGTTATGACAAACTGAGAAAAGCTGGACAAAAACAATATCTGAAATATATGAACATTAAAGAATCGGTTTCAGATATTTAAGACACTACGCTATACACATGTATATTTATGTGATGTGTATCTCTATTTCTCTATCTCCCTATCTGTCTGTCTGTCTGTCTCTCTCCGTCCATCCATCCGCCCGCCTGCCTGCCCGCCTGCCTGCTATGGTCTGAATATTTGTGTTCCCCCACCTCAAATTCATGTTAAAATCCCATCTCTCCCAATATGATGGTACTAGGAGGTGGGGCCTTTGGAAGGTGTTTAGGTCATGAGGGTGGAACTCTCATAAACTGATTAGTGTCCTTATAAAAGCTCCTTTGCCTCTTCCACATGTGAGGACACAGCAAGAAGGTCCTGTCTGTGAACCAGGAAGTGGGCCCTCACCAGACACTGAATCTGCTGGTGCGTTGATCTTGAACTAGAACTGTGAGAAATAAATTTCTGTCATGCATTCATTCATTCATTCATTCATTCATTTATTTGAGACGGAGTTTCGCTCTTGTTGCCCAGGCTGGAGTGCAATGGCGCGATCTTAGCTCACTGCAACCTCCACCTCCTGGGTTCAAGGGATTCTCCTGCCTAGGCGAAACAGAGCAAGACTCCATCTAAAAAAAAGAAGAAGAAGAAAACTGAGACTCAGAGAGGTAAAATTCAAAGGTCACACAGCTTGGAAGGGCTCTGTTAGTCATTCATTCAACAAATGGTAGACATGGTAGAGATGTAATACTTTCTCATCTATTACAGTACCATTACTGCCAAAAATTTTTAAAAATAAATAAATAAGAAAGCACGTTTTAATATAAACTAATATAAACAAAGCAAACTTCTGTGCTGCAGTTTGTGCAGGTGTTCTTTCTGTGCTGTGGTTTGTCTTACAAAGCAAGCAAAATGTGGCCCATGCAAGCAAACTCTAAAAGGTAGAGTTTCTAGGGCTGTTCTCTCCCTAAAAAAGCTCTTATTCACTCTACAACTTTAAATACCATCTGTATATCTCCTCCTAACTCTCTGAGCTTCAAGATTGTTTAATTGATTGCCACTTGACGTCTCCATTTGGTCACTTACAGATGTCACAAAAGTAACAAGTTCAAAAATAAGGCTCACACCTGTAATCCCAGCACTTTGGGAGGCCAAGGCAGGCGGATCACTTGAGGTCAGGAGTTCGCACATTGGTGGTAGTGGTCCCTGGGGCCCAGCTGTCTTTTCTTTTATCTCTTTGTCTTGTGTCTTTATTTCTACAGTCTCTCGTCTGCGCACACGGGGAAAGACCCACCGACCCTGTGGGGCTGGTCCCTACACACACCTGTAATCTCAGCACTTTGGGAGGCCAAGGCAGGCGGATCACTTGAGGTCAGGAGTTCGAGACCAGCCTGGTCAACACGGTGAAACCTTGTTTCTACTAAAAATACAAAAATTAGCTGGCCATCATGGCGTGTGCCTGTAATCCCAGCTACCTGGGAGGCCGAGGCAAGAGAATAGCTTGAACTCGGGAGGTGGAGGTTGCAGTGAGCCAAGATCATGCCACTGCACTCCAGCCTGGGCGACAGAGTGAGACTCTATCTCAATTAAAAATAAATAAATAAATAAATTCTTGACTTCCCTTTTCACTGACCTCCAGTCTCATTTAAGAATACTGTCATCCAACCAACTGCTCAAGCCAAAACCTGAGTATTTTCCTTGCTTTCCTCCTCCCCCACACTCTTCATGTTAAGTCCCATTGGTTCCACCTACAGACTAGATCTCATCTATCCTTTTCTCTCCCAACACTTTAGATCCGAGCTGCGATTATCTTTCACCTGAACTACTATAATGGTCTTATTATTTTCCTGCTTTCTCTCCTTTGCAGACAAAGTGCTTTGGGGGCTAGAGGACAGGTAACAGAAACTATAGTATGTAACTTTAAAACCCTTCGGTGGCTTTCAGTGTGTTTAATAAAAGCCATACTCCTTACCATGGCCCTTTAAAATTCTAGATATCTGATCCCTTTCTACCTTTCAAACTTCATTCCACTCTCCCCCAGACATCTCCAGGCATGCTTTCAATTCCTCATACACCAACTGTTCACACTGCAGGGTCTTCCCTTCTTCCTGTAAATTCCTGGCAGGGATAACTCCTTCAATTTTCAGCTTCAAGGTCACCTCTCTTGACAAGCCTTTTCTGGCAATGTAGAAGTACCTCTGCCTTCCCATGACCCTCTATCACCTCATCTGCATTTCTTCCATGGTCTGCGCTTAACATCATTGGAAAATATCTACTTATACATTTACCATCTAGTTGTCTACCAGATTATGAACTCCAAGTAGACAGAATATGTCTGTTTTGTTTACTTATATTCACCACCTAGTAAAATGCCTGTCATGTAAATTTTTCTTGAATGAGCAAGTTAGGAATATTAGACTAAAAGGACTTTAATTTCTATACAATTTAAAGTGTTTTAAGCTACAAATTTAAAAGATAATTTATGATCTTCTCTCATGAAGTATACAAATATAACTCAGAGACAGACGTGTTTCATTTCTTAAAGACCTATGACAAACCTCAAAGCAGTGAAGTTTGTGTCAGATTCATTTTATAGGCAATATAGAACCTAAGACATGACTTTCTTATTTTCAGAATCTAGGTGAAAAACTGCAGTAAAATTATGAAGAGGTACCAACTAGCTCAAGTAAATAATTATGTTTATATGCAAAATGACTATAGCCTCAAAAATATGTGTAATATTTTAATAAAAGCATATTCTTAAAAAAATTTAACCACAGTCATCCCTTGGTATCCACAGGAAATTGGCTCCAGGACCCCCACGTATACCAAAATCCTGCCATGCTCAAGTCCCTTATATAAAATGATACAGTAATTACATATAACCTATGCACATTTTCCTGTATACTTTAAATCATGCTTGTACAACCTATGGCTCATGGGCTGCATATGGCCCAGGAAAGCTTTGAATATGGCCCAAATTTGTAAACTTTCTTAAAACATTATGAGATATTTTGTGATTTTTTTTTTTTTTTTTAGCTCATCAGCCATCGTTAGTGCTGGTATATTTTATATGTGGCCCAAGACAATTCTTCTTCTCCCAGTGTGGCCCAGGGAAGCCCAAAGATTGGACACACCTGCAAATCATTTCTAGATTACTTATAATACCTAACACAATGTAAATCCTATGTAAATTTTTGTTATACTGTATTTTCAAATATAAAATTCTTTATTATTATTTTTTGCAACATCTTTTCCCAAATATTTTCTGTCCATGGTTGGTTGCATCCATGGATGTGGAACCTGTAGATATGGAGGGCTGAATTTATTTCCATTTGGACAAAAGTATTTTGCAGAGAGAGAAAATAACCTATTTTGGTCAGGTCCAAGGGAGAATAATAAATTACTGTCCCATTCTGTGTTGGTTATAAATATATCCACGAATTTTATGATGCTCCTCTTTTCAAAGGTAGAGTCTAATTAATCCCCTCTTAATTATGGGTTACACTTAGCAACACGTTTCTAAGGAACAGAATATGGAGGAAGTGACTATGTGTGACCAGATTATAAAAGACATTATGACTTCCTTCTTGCTCTCTCTCAGATTACTTGCCCTGAAGGAAGCCAACTTCCACATTGTGAAAACACTCCAGCAACCCTATGGAGGGGTCCACATGAGTAGAAACCAAAGGTTTCTGCTGACAGCTAGTAAGAAATTGAGGTCTTCTGTCAACAGCCATGTACGTGAGCCATCCTGGAAAGTGATCCTCTAGTCCCAGTCAAGCCTTTAGATAGCTACTGCCAACATCCTGACTACAACCTTATGAGAAATCCTAAGCCAGGGCCACCTAGTTAAACCACTCCTAAATACCTGGCCCACAGACACTGTGAGATAATAAATGCTTGGCTTTTCTTAAGCGACTTAACTTGAATCAGCAATAAGTAATCTATATTCGTTCAAGCAATAATCATTGATCTGTGCCTACTATGGCCCAGTCACTGTACCAGGCCCTACAGACACAGGGAAAAAATAAGACTCACTGTCTTACAGGGATAGACGGGATATACAAGAGGATAGAGGATAGTATAGCAACACAGCATTAAGTGCTCTAAACGGATAAATAGAAGGCCCTACCTCAACACCCAGAACACAATATCAAGTTTCAAAAGAAGGAAGAGGAAGAGGAGGAGGAGGAGAAGCTGTTTAAGGGGGAAAGAGTGGGTGTAGGTATGCATATCTACATGTAAGGTGCAAGGAAAGTGCAGAGGATGACAAATGAAGGGACTGGAGATATATATAAGTACCAGTTGGATAATGAAAGGATGCCATACTCTGAGCTTTAACTAAAGGCAATAAGGAGACACTGAGAATTTCAATAAAGTAGGGTAAGATTCACATTCTACAAAGAAGACTCTTGCTGCAGTATGGAAAACGGCTCCAAAGGGCCTCCTCTAATACAGACAGTTAAAAGGAAACTGCAGCTATCCAGTTTAGGTAGAATGATGGCCTGAAATATCTTAGCAACAAGAAGTAAAAAAGCAGTAGACAGATTCAACAGACATTTAGAAGGTAGAAAGATAGAACTTTATGATTGATTTTAAAATTAAATGCCATCAATATCTCCAGAACACTAAAAAAGGAAAATCACCATAATATGCAAATATTCAGAACAAATAAAAGAACAATCTTTATTGGTATACATGGCAAACCCTCTAAACTCAAAAGAATCCCCAACACATTCTGAAAGTGGAAATGAATTTTAAATCAGTTGTCCAAAAAGACAGAACTATAAATTCAATATGAGGAAGGCATAAATGGCTTCGCATAATTCTAATGTACCTCATCAGAAACCTCAATAGTCATTTACAACTGACAAGCCCAACTCTTTGTATATTTCAACTTTTTTTATTGCTAGTATGAAGTATAGCTCTTTTTCTTTCCCTTTTAGAATAAAGGGATCAAGGAGATACTGTATTACCTCTCCTTGAATATCTAAGTCAGATATGCCAGAATACAACACATTGTCCTTATCTAGCTCAAGAGTTCTTAGTGTTCTAAGGTTGAAACTCTTCAGGACTTCAGTGAGCATAAATTATCAACATAAGAACTCTTTCTAAGCTATAATGTAAGCTCTTTGAGGGCAGAAATCATGTCTTAAACATCTATTCCTAGCACTAAGCCCACTGCATCTAAAGCAAGGAAAAATTCAAAAGATGTTTATTGAATGGATTCATATTAAACTAAATACTAGGAGTCTATTCCTACGCACGTATCCATACACACACACACACACACGCACACACACACAAAAATATTTACTGACGGAATTTGTTTCATAATACAGGGATAGAGTAAATGCATGGGAATGTAATAAAACAAGATGGGCCAATATATAACTTTTTAGAACTGTGAGATTTATCAGAGAAAACTGAAAGTAAACAAGGGAGTTACAGGGAGGGCATCTATTTTATGTATTTGGTTCATGGGGTAAAATAAACTAAAATACATTTTAAAAGGTTAAAATTATGCTTTCTTGACAGATTTTTGCCTTTAATTTATAACCCAGTGTTCTTGTTACAAAATATTTATACTTCATAATTCTAAATACCAAATAACTTATTTTAGAACTATGGTTAAAGTATTGTAATAAAAAAAGAAAGGGCACAAATGTACTACAGAAAAATAAAAAAAAATTCATATAATAACAAAGTAAGAGAAAATGACATCTAATGTTCTCCTAATTTTCTGTTTGCTGTTGCAGTCTGAAGGAACACAAGATTAATTAGATACTTGTAACATAAAAATAACCTAAATACAGTCATTCATATTTGGCTTAGGAGTCTCACTGCCAGCTCTTTAGTAAAAATTATTCCTTATAAAATACTAATATTGTCTTTTATGAAATCTCAAGATTTTCAGTAAGTAGATAGCTTCTGGAACTAAAATAAAAGTAGCATTTAACATAAAATTGAACAATTTACTAGATTACGTGACTTATTGGTCTTTTCATTATTGCATTTTTTCTGCAAGCAAGACAAATATTTTCTTTTTTGTCTTCATGCTTTTGTCTCTAATCCTCAAATTTCCAAAGAAAGTTACAATATGAATTAAATAACCAACAACTTGCTTGCTTTAACATTTTTTCCTAGTATAACTCCATAAGTATTCATAATAAATTTAATATTTGCCATTCTTTTTGGAATACTGTCAACGAAATGAAACTATTAAAAGCAAAATTCAAAGATACACAGTCAGCCCTCTGCATCTGTGGGTTCCACACTGTGGATTCAGCCAACTGCAGATCAAAAATATTCAGAAAAAACAAATTCCATCTGTACTAAACATGTACATATTTTTTCTTGTCATTATTCCTAAACAATACAGAATAACAACTATTTATATAACATTGACATTGTATTCGGTATTATAAGTAATCTAAAGACGATTTACAGTATACAGGAGGATACGCACAGGTTATGTGCAAAAACTATGCCATTTCCTATCACGGACTTGAGCACCTACAGATTTTGGTGCTTGAGGAAGGTCCTGAAATCAGTCCCCCACAGATACAAGGGATGATTGTATATTAGAAACATTTTTAAAGGCACACATTAATGGTAATAAAATATCCAATTAAAAATAAAACATTTAATATAATAAATCAAATATATAATATAATGTAATCAAAACAGTATGGTACTAGCATAAGGATGGTAATATGGACCAACAGAATGGAACAGAGCCCAGGAAAAAACTCTCACATATATGGCCAACTGATTTTCAACAAGAGAGCCAAGACTATTCAATGGAGGAGAAGGCAGTCTCGTCAACAAAACCAGTGCTGGGAAAATTGAATCTACCTTAAAAATTAACATAAAATGGGTCATAGACCTAAATTTAAGAGCTGAAACTATAAAGTTCTTACCAAAAAAAATGGGCAACTCCTCAATGTTTTTTGTTGGTTTGTTTTTGTGATGGAGTCTCACTCTGTCGCCCAGGCTGGAGTGCAGTGGTGCGATCTTGGCTCATTGCAATCCCTGGCTTCCAGGTTAAAGCGATTCTCCTGCCTCAGCCTCCCAAGTAGCTGGGATTACAGGTGTGTGCCACCATGTCTGGCTAATTTTTTTCTGTATTTTTTTTTTTTTTTAGTAGAGACAGGGTTTCACCACGTTGGCCAGACTGGTCTCAAACTCCTGACCTCAGGTGATCCACCTGCCTCGGCCTCCCAAAGTGCTGGGATTAGAGGCATGAGCCACCATGCCTAGCCCAATGGTTTCTTAAATATGACACCAAAACCACAGGAACAAAATAGATAAACTGGACTTCATAAAAATTAAAGACTTTAGTACACCAAAGGACACTATCAACAGAGTAAAGCTCCCAGAATGAAAGAAAATATTTGTGAAATCATACATCTGATAAGGGTTATCCAGAACACATAAAGAACCCCTATAACTCAACAACAAAGAGATAAACAACCCAATTTAAAAATGAGCAAAGGAGGTGGGAGGATCACTTGAAGCCAGGAGTTTGAGACCACCCTGGAAAACATAGTGAGACCCCTGCCTCTACAAAAAATTAAAATATTAGCTGAGCATGTGGCATACGACTGTAGTCCTAGCTACTCAGGAGGCTGAGGCAACAGGATTCCTTGAGCCCAGGAATTGAGGGTTAAAGTGAGGTATAATCGCACCACTACACTCCAGACTGGGTGACAGAGTGAGACCCTGTCTCTTAAAAAAGAAAAAAGGGCAAAGGAGCAAATTACATGAACACACATTTCACTGAAGAAGATATATACACTTGACCCTTAACCAACACAGGTTTAAACTATTTGGGTCCAGTTATATGTGAATTTTCTCAATAAATATATTTGAAATTTTTTGGAGATTTGTGACAATTTGAAAAATCTTACAGACAAACTTCATAGCCTAGGAATATTGAAAAAATTAAGAAAAAAGTAAGTAGGTCATGAATGCATAAAATATATGTAGATACCAGTCTATTTTTATCATTTTTTACCATAAAAATATATACAAATCTATTATAAAAAGTTAAAATGTATCAAGACTTACACATGCACAGACTGTAGTACATGGTGCCATTCATAATCAAGAGAAATGTAAACAGTGAAGATGCAGTATTAAATCATTAACTGCATAAAATTAACTGTAGTACAGGCTCTACTACCAAAATAACTTCGTAGCCATCTCTTGTCGCTATAGTGGTAAGCTCAAATGTTGCGAGTATTCATTAAAACACTGTGCGATGCTAATTATCTCTGCCAGAGCAGTTTGTCTCTCCAGTAAGTTGTATATGGCAACAAAATGTGTCTCAAGGTTCATGCATATATTTTTCATCATGTTTAGCTCAATATCATAAACCTTGACTAACACCGTGGAACTCATACGAAGTGCCACTAGTGATGCTGGCTGTGTTCCCAAGAAGCAGAGAAAAGTCATGACATAACAAGGAAAAGTTGAATTGCTTGATACGTACCTTAGATTGAGGTCTGCAGGTACAGCTGCCGACTATTTCAAGAAAAACAAATCTAGCATTAAGGACCACTGTAAAAACAGAGAGGGAAACTGGTGAAGCCATCACTGCAGCTCTGCCAGAAGGCACAAAACCCTGCACTGTTTGCAAAATACTTTTTTATCTCATAATGAAAATCCAGCTTTATTGTGGGCACAGGGTTGCTATAAGAAAGGCATATCCATGGACTCTAATATGATTTGAGAAAAAGCTAAGTCATTATATGACAATTTAAAGCAAAAATAACATGAAGGATCTAAAGCTGCAGAATTTAATGCCAGCAAAGGATGGCTTGGTAATTTTAGAAAGAGGTATGGCATAAAAATGTCAAGAGAACAGGAGACGCAGCTTCTGCCAACCAAGAGGCAACAGACAAGTTCCCAGACATTAAAAAAAATCACTGAGGATAAAGTACATCTGCCCAGGTTTTTATTGTAGATGAAAGTACCCTATTCTAAAAAAAAAGAAAAAACAAAGCTTACCAAGGACATTTATTACTATAGAAAAGAAGTGAGCACCAGGATTTAAGGGTATAAAGGGATAGACTAACTCCTGTTTTGAGCAAATGCAGTTGGGTTTATAATCATAAGTGTCCTCATCGACAAAGCTGCTAAACCCTGAGTCTTGAAGGGAAAAGGTAAACACCAAATGCCAGTATTTTGGTTGTACCACAAGTAGGGCTGGAAATGAGAGTGCTTTCTGGATTGCTTCCACTGATACTTTGTCGCTGAAGTTAGAAAGTACCTTGCCAGTAAGAGACTGCCTTTTTAAATTTGTTTGGTATTGGACAATGCCCTTGGCCACCCAGAACCTCATGAGTTCAACACCTATGCATTGAAGGGTCTACTTGAACCCAAACACAACATCTCTAACTCAGCCTCTAAATAAGGGCATTATAAAGACCTTTAAGGCTCACTACTCTATGGAAAGGATTGCCAACCTATTGAAGAGAACCCTGACAGAGACAACATCATGAAAGTCTAGAAAAATGACACCATAGAAGATGCCATCATTGTTACAGAAGAAGCCATAAAAGCCATCAAGCTCAAAACAACAAGTTCCTGTTGGAGAAAAATGTTCCCAGATGTTGTGCACGATTTCGTAAGATGTATGATAGAGCTGATCAGGAAACTGTGAGAGACTGCAGATACAGCAAAAAAGGTGAGGGGTGAAGGGTTTCAAAATATGGATCTTGGAGAAACTCAAACGCTAGTACACACCACATCAGAGGAATTAACAGAAGACAACTTGATGAAGATGAGTGCTTCTGAACTAGTACCAGACAATGAGGAAGAAGATGTAGAATAAGCAGTGCCAGAAAAAAAATCGACATTAGACAATCTGAAGAAGGGTTCCGATTATCCAAGACTTCTTTTATGACATGGACTCTTCTATGATACAGGCACTGAAACTAAACCAAATGGTGGAAGAAGGATTGGAAAAGAAATATTTTTAGAGAAATAAAGCAAAAAAAAAAAAGGAAGAAAAATTATAATGTATTTCTGTAACATGACACCAAGTGTGCCTGCCTCTCCTGCCTCCCTGGCCTCCCCTTCCCTTCCCTTCCACCTCCTCCACCTCTTCTGCTTCTGCCACTCCTAAGACTGCCAAGACCAACCCCTTCTCTTCCTCCTCAGCCTACTCAATGTGAAGATGATGAGGATGAAGACCTTTATGATGATCCACTTTCACTTAATGAATGGTAAATACATTTTCTCTTCCTGATGATTTTCTTAGTAACATTTTCTTTTCTCCAGCTTGCTTTAAGAATACATATATTATGTGTAACATACAAAATACGTGTTAATCAACTGTTCATGTTGGTGGTAAGCCTTCAACAGTAGGTTATTAGGGCCGGGTGTGGTGGTTCACACCTGTAATCCCAGCACTTTGGGAGGCCGAGGCGGGCGGATCACAAGGTGAGGAGATCAAGACCAGCCTGGCCAACATAGTAAAACCCCGTCTCTACTAAAAATACAAAAAATTAGCTGGGCGTGGTGGCAGGTGCCTATAATCCCAGCTACTCAAGAAGCTGAGGCAGGAGAATCGCTTGAACTTGGAGGTTGCAGTGGTCCGAGATAGCGCCATTGCACTTCAGCCCGGGCAACAGTGTGAGACTCCGTCTCAAAAACAAAACAAGACAAAACAAAACAAAACAAAAAAAAATAGGTTATTAGTAGTTACATTTTGGGAGAGTCAAAAGTTATACATAAATTTTCGACTGGAGGGGCACTGGCATCCCTAAGCCCTGAGTTGCTCAAGGGTCAACTGTATCTTGTCAGTAAGCATGTGTAAAAATGCTCAATATAATTTAGTCATTAGGAAAATGCACATCAAAACCACAATGAGACACCATTTAACACCTATTATGATGGCTACTTTCCAAAAAAATGGAAAATAACAAGTGCTAGTAAGTATGTAGAGAAATTGGAACCCTCATGTATTGCTAGAAAAATGCAAAATGGTGCAGCCACTGTGGAAAGCAAGTTTAGTGGTTCCTCAAAAAGTTAAACAAAGAGTTACCATACAACCCAGCAATTCTGTTTTCAAAAGAGTTGAAAACAGTGACTCAAACAGAATTTTGTATGCCAATGTTCTTATCAGCAATTTTCACAATAGTGAAAGGTGTTAATGACTCAGGTGTGTGTAAACAGATGAAAAAATAAATAGAATGTGGTATACACATACAATAGATTATTCTTCCATAATAGAAATGAAATTCTGATACACGCAACAACATACATGAACCTTGAAAAGATTATACTAAGTGAAAAAAGCCAGACTCAAAATGACCAATATTGTATGATCATACTTAATATAAAATATCTAGAACAGGCAAATTCATAGAGACAGAAAACAGAATAGAGGTGGCTAGGAGCCAGGAGAGAGAAGAATGGGAATTATTACCTAATGGGTACAGAGCTTCTGTTTCAGATGATGAAAAACTTCCGGAAATAGATAGTGGTGATGGTTACCCAACATCCTGAACATATATAATGCTGCTGAATTGTACACTTAAATATTGTTAAAATGGTCATTTTTAGGTAGTGTATATTCCACAATTTTAAAAAGGCATTTAAGATTGAATATTATTCCTGAAACAGAATTTAATTTGATCTAAAGTCTATCACCACAAAATTTTCAGGCAAACATAAACTAATATAGTACTAGCTTCAAAGTATATATTCAGCATTAAAATAAGGCATCCAATTCTCTGGCCACACTAAAGAAGCCTATAAATGAACCCCAAAGGATTTGTTTTTATAGCAAGAACTTGGTATTCAAGCCAAGTTAAACTCACAAACACTCCACAGCAATAAAAGCCAAGTTCATTGCAGACTTGAGATCTTTAGTTGTCTATTTTTACTGTTTCTATTTCCACATCTAGAATTCTCTCTTTAAGCCAGCTTAAAAATGGGGCTCTCAAGAGAAAAATATGTGCACTCAAATTTTTAATAATCAAAACTGTAGAACCTCAGAGTAGTAGAAGCTTTAAGTGTACAGACCTCAATTAACAGGAACTGGGGAAAAAAGGTTTTAATTATACACACATACCTCTGGCTCACCCCCACAATGTGTTGCATGCTTTTGGCAAGTGCCACAAAACCAATTACTTACCATGTTGTTTTCTAATCAGGAATGCTATGATTTTCCACAAACTAATGAAGAACCTGTTTCATAATAAACTTAGTCCTGAAATTATATTTTATGTTTCTAATCCACCGAAGTAGAACCTTGTCATATATTTAGGGGTAAGTATTAATCATAAAAATATCATGTTTTATCACACTGGATAGGTACAAGACAACTATCTTTTTTGTGGACAAGCTGTAATTTCAGAAAACGGATGAACGACATTATAAACTAAAAACAGAACGACACAAAAATAACAGGTCAAGAAATGCAAAACACAGGCAAAAGGTAAGTTCATCAGTTCATCTAGTAAGTTCACAAGAGATGGGCAGAGAAAAAATAATGAATACAGTTCTATGCAGCAACATCCTCCCATCATTATACTAGTCCTCTCTATCCTCTTCTTGCCATTCAGCACTCTGTCATGCCATGATCACTACCACTGCTATTCTCAATGAGAAAAAGAAACCAAATGTGGACTTTACTTATGCAAATGATTTACAATCATTAGATGAAGAATTCACTGATTTTCCTTCCTGCCTCTGTTACAAGTATTTCCTGAAGAATACTGCCATTCTCGCATATGATTACCAGCAGCAAGTGACTGATCAGTTTGTACTCAGGCAGGAGGGAAAGGCTATTCTGACACTCTAATGCAGCACTTCAACTGGATGTCAATGTATCAAGAATGTTGTTCCAAATAGAATACAAGAACTTAAAATTAAATGAAGAAATCCCAGAGCTCCACTGATCTCTAGTCATTCTGCCAAATTAATCATGGACTCTTGATAAATTGAAAATGAATATACTGAATTAATAAAACAATTTCTATGGAAGTTATCAAATGAAAGTAATATAATTTCAGTTCAAAATAATTGTAGTACAGACAAAATTCCATTAAGCAAATTAGAATTTTTGAGTATTTTCTATGTTACATTTAGACTCTGGCTGGCAAACATCTATAAGCTCTTTTTAGACTCAATGATAAAAGATGTTTGCTGGCTCTCCTCTAATAACATTAAACCATGAAAAAGAGATGAATAGATATATATTTTATATATCACACAAAAACATATACATGAAACGAAGTATATATCTATGAACAGATACATATTTTATATATCACACACACGAAAAATAGATGAATAGATATCTTTTTCGTGTGTGTGTGCGTTTAAGTGGAAAGATATAACTTTTAAAGCATCAATCGGCGCCAAGCCCTCTGAATTATTTCACTCCTTTGTGGTAATATTACTAGTTTCTGACCTATTATCTTTTTTCTATAAACTTCAGTTTCATGGAAATGGTGAAGTTACAGAAGCCTAAAAGAGGTCAGGTCTGGTGCCAAGACCATTGAAAAGAAGCCAAGAGAGCCTCGGAGGCCAGTTGGCCAAAGCCTACTAGGCTGGTCCAAACCTTCCTCTTTACAAGGATAATTCACAATAACTGAAAACGTATAATCTAAGTCATTTAGTAGGGAAGTTTTAAAAGAAATGATAATTACAAAAGCTAGGTGATAGATACATAAGCATATTTTATGGATATCTGAAATTTTCTATTAAAAAAGTTAAAAGTAAAATAAATTAACTTACATATTCTATACATAATAGCAGATTTTTTTCTCATTCAGGCTTTACAATGTAAGACTGCAGGACAAGGATAAATAGAGCATCTGGTAGAGATAACCATCTCATTCCTTTTCTATTAAACACAGCAAATTCATTTCAAACTCTTTATGTTTTTTACAACTATGACTCAAAATGCGAGGGCAATAATAAAAATCATTAGCAAATTTGAATATATATATATATAAATTGGGAATGGTAAAAACCACCAAAAGCAAAGTCAAAAGACAAATGAGACAACTGGGAGAAAATACTTGCAATATACATTACAGATAAAGAAATAATATTCCCAACATTCAAAGAGCTTAGTAATAATTTAAAAAGACCAAAACTCCTAGAGAAAAATGAAAGAAGATATAGACAGACATCTCCCCCTATATATATGGCTCTGATAGATGGGAAAGGATGTTAAACCTCACTCATAATAAGAAAAATGCACATTCTAACTATACCAAAATACCATTTCTTTGCCCTTCAGATTGGCAAAAATTCAAAAGCTTGACAATAGACTCACTTGGTAAGGCTGTGGGAAAACAGGCACTCTCATACATTGCTGATGGGAATGCAAAACAGTACAAACCCTATGGAAGGGAATTTGGTAACATCTAGCAAAACTACATAGGCATTTACCACTTCGACCTAGTAATTCCACTCCTACATTTATCCTGAAGATACACCTCCAGCAGTATGAAAAGACACAAGGTTATTAATTGCAGAACTGTATAACTATAAAATGCTAGAAACTATCTGGATACACAAACATAGAAAAGAAGATGAATGAACTGGTGTACATACACACAAAAGAATGATGACGACCTCTATGAACTGATATGGAATAATTTCCAGGGTATATTTTCCAGTGAAAACAGTTAAGTGCCAAAGTGCTTACACAGACAATATGCTATCTTTTGTGTTGGAAAAAAGGAGAAATAAGAAAACACACATATCTACTAATCATTATAAAAGGAAACATTGGAAAGATAAACCAAAAAACAATAAGGTTGGTTATCTAGCAGGGTAGCATGTTGTTTTTGTTTTTAGTGATATACGTGAAACAATTCTGAAACCATTTTAGATGGTACTCGTTTAGACCAAATGAGTAAAATGTTGGCACTGTTGGGAGCCCATGTTCTCATTATAGAAAAAGGGAGAATTGGAGGTATCAATGTAAATTCTTATTTTGAAAAAAAAAATACCCATATTCACATATGTATATCCATGTTATATGGGCATATACATGCAAACACATGCGCATATTTGTGTGTGTGTGTATATATATATAGATATATATATACACACACACACATATATATATATACACACACACATGTGTACATTTTCTAGTTTGTTCCCTGATAGGGCCCAGAAGCAAAGATATCCAGCAATAACATATATACCAAAGCATCCAGATCTTGGTTTCTAATACTATTACCCAATAAGAAGGACTAAGGCTCCTAGGAGAAATGACTGACTCCAGTGCTGGGCAATAAATGCACAAGATGAAACTTATTATAAAGAGTGAAACTAATGACTTGCTTAAAAAAATGATGGGAACATGTAAAAGGATACAAGAGCCAGCATGAAGAAGATGCCACTGGTGAGGACTGGAACAATTTTAGCTCCAAAATATTTAACAGTAGTGAAATGTTAAGCATTAAGGGAAAAATAGGAAACCATAAATTCAAATCAACAATAAATAAAACAATACATATAGATAAATAGAAGGGCTCCTATTACAGTAGAATGCTGAGTAATGACTGGTAAATGCAGAGAGAGTAAATCATTATTTTGCAACTATAATAGTAAAGATTGATTCAAGCAAGTATCATCAATGGATGCTACATACAGGGGATGAAATGTTATGAGGAGCTGTATATTTTAACTGTCTTAAAGTGTCTCCCTCCCAGTAGACCCTTTATTAGTTGCAAGGAACATGTAGTAATATGGTTTGGCTGTGTCCCTACCCAAATCTCATTTTGAATTGTAGTTCCCATAATCCCCACATGTCATGGGAGGGACCTGGTGGGAGGTAACTGAATCATAGGGGTGGTTACCTCCATGTTGTTCTCATGATAGTGAGTGAGTTCTCTAGAGATCTAATGGTTTTATAAGGGACTTTTTCTCTTTTGCTCGGCACTTCTCTCTCCTGCCTCCAAGTGAAGAAAGGTGTGTTTGCTTCCCCTTCCACCATGATTGTAAGTTTCCTGAGGCCTCCCAGCCATGTGGAACTGTGAGTCAATTAAACTTCTTTCCTTTATAAATCACCCAGTCTCAGGTATTTCTTCATTGCAGCGTGAGAATGAACTAATACACATAGTAACTATATAGTGGAAAAATCAGACAATGAAATGGTCAAAATTTCCATCACAAATGAACGGCAGAACAGTCAGTACCTATAGATATGATATGCTCAGAAAGATATATTCCTTATGTAATATTCCATCCAGGAATGTATAACCTAAAATCTTATCAACAGAAACATCAAACAAATAAAAAATAAGGAACAAAAAATAAGAAAACGAACAAAAAATAACTTCTGAAAAGGGAGAGAAAGGATGACTGTGTACTTTTAAAATGTCATATAATAAAAGATAAAGGTTGAAGAATTATTCTAGATTAAGGGTACTAAAAAGACATCAAATATAAACGCAAGATATGATCATTGACTAATTCCTACACTGGAGGAGAAGAAAACTGCCATAGAAGGCACTTATTCAGATAACAAAATTAGAAAACGGAAGATTAAAGTAATGTAAGAATGTTAAGTCTACTTAAGTTTTTAGACTGCTAATATAAGAGATGATCCTTATTCTTAGAAATCTACACAAAAACATTTAGGACTAAAGGGCCATAATATGTTCAATGTAACTCTCAAATGGCTAAATGAAAAGAATAAATGTATGCATGCATGTATGTTTACAAATATATACATATAAACATGCACAAAGTGAGAAAGAGTAATAAAGCATTTGGGACAAATGGCTAACAATAGATGAATCTGGATAAAGGGCAACTGGATGCTCTTTATATTATTTTTGCAACTTTTATGCAAGTTTGAAATTATTTCCAAAAAAATCATTATATTCAGGAACTAACACATTATTTTTCTCCCTAAAATCTGTTCCTTCTTTTATAATTCCTACACAGCTGAACAGCACCAGTGCCAACTAGTCATCCCACTAGAAACTTGACAGTTAACCTAGATTACTCAATAGTTTCATCATTTCCTTCCGGTTCTATAACTCCCACAACCCAAAGGAGAATTTCCTAAGGGAATATCATTAATATGACCTTTTTTTTCCTCCAATCATACCAAATTGGTGTAGGACCTAATCACTTAGCATTTCTCGTCTGATTTACTGCTACAATCTACTACTGATCACCGTTCCTCCAGTCTTGGCCCTAAATCATTCTACACACTGCTACAGAGTGAATTCCCCCAATGAAATTTGAATATGTCACTCCCTGTATTTCTTAATTTGTCCTAAATATAGGTAGGAAAGAACTTAATGGATTAACTTGAAAAAAACCCAACACTAATAAAATATATTATTTTGGATCTTCAGAAGCAAATAAGCAAAAATTACTGCCCAGAGATTTAAAAAGCTGGTATAACATAATTGATATAGTCATAAAACAACTGCAAGAGCCTTCTCGGACCCAATCTTAAAGCAACTGCTATTAAGCAATATGTTCAGTGCCTTTTATACAAATAACATAAGAACCCTGGAAGAAGGAAAGGTAATTAAAAGCATAGAAGGGAAAAGAAATTTAAGGAAAAGAAGGGAAGGAAAATAAATGGGAAAGTAGAAAATTGAAAAGAAGGGAAGGAAAAAGTTAAAAAGGTAAGGGAAAAGAAGAAAACTCTATTAGTAAAACAGAGATTTGTCTAGTGTTAAAATGTTAGCATTTTAAGAATTAACTAACCCTCTCTCAATTATTCCTAATGAAATAGCAAGCATAATCAGAGAAAAGTATTTTTATATGTCTTTATCAATATCTGACATTTTATCAAATGTTACTTGAGGACAGTATTATTCATAATCAATATATATTCTATTATTTATAAGCAAATATGGAACCAAGTCTCTATTGCTTTCATTTTTTTTTTTTTTTTTTTTTTTTTTTTTGAGACGGAGTCTCACTCTGTCGCCCAGGCTGGAGTGCTGTGACACAATCCCAGCTCACTGCAACCTCCACCTCCTGGGTTCAAGCAATTCTCTGCCTCAGCCTCCCTAGTAGCTGTGATTACAGGCACCTGCCACCACGCCCGGCTAATTTTTACATTTTTAGCAGAGACAAGGTTTCACCATCTTAGCCAGGTTGGTCTTCAACTCCTGACCTCGTGATCCACCTGCCTTGGCCTCCCAAAGTGCTGGGATCACAGACATGAGCCACCGCACCTGGCCTGCTTTCATTTTTAGATTTTCAATTTCTCAGTTCAAGGCATCAATATATAACTATACATTTATTGTATATAAAAATATACACATATATAGCATATATGTATAATATACATAAAGTTACACAATATATATCTGTATCCGGATTCTAGTATTCTACTTGAGCACCTACACCTGTAGATTTTAGCTATCAGTATAAGGTTTTAAGTAACTTTTATGTTGAATGTCAAGTTGCACAATAACAACAACTAGATTTTATAAATATAAACATTTATTGATATTTTACACTGAGAATATAAAATACAACAGATAGCCAAATATACATTAAAGAGTCTTCTCAGGACAAAAAGCTTGCTTCTTATATTTCTTTTCCAGTTTACAGAAGGAAAAGAAAACAAACTAAACAGAGGCAATAAACATGTCACACTACGGCCTCCTCTCCCCACAAAAAGTTGTTTTAATCATCACATTAATTTAGTCTTTTTATAACAAATAACACTTGTTCTTTAAACTTTAATTTATTAAATTGTAAGTGTGAGTAGTTGTGTGTCAGGACAGGCAGAGTAAAGGATCAAAGATCAATTCAGTCTATAGCTGGGCTCTTTTGTTGGATTTCTATAGGTCTAAGCATGTAAATATGGCCAACAGTACAGGAAGACATTTTTTTTTTTTAATCTTATTGCTTTTACCGAGGCAAAGTCTGTTTTGTTGTTTTTGCTGCTGTTTTTTGAGACAGGGTCTCGCTCTTCTGCTCAGCCTGGAGTGCAGTGGCACCATCAAAGCTCCCTGCAACCTCAGCCTCTTTGACTCAAGGGATCCTCCTGCCTCAGCCTTCTGAGTAATTGAGACTACAGGTGTGCACCACCATGCCAGTGATCCCCCTGCCTCAGTCTCCTAAAGTGCTGGGATTATAAGCGGGAGCCACCACACCCAGCCAAGGAATCCCATATGCAACAGAGTTATTTAATTTACTCTTTGTATATTGCTTAAAGCATTAAATGATAGCTAAAAATCGAAGTGTTTGGCCTATCTTCTATTCAGCTGGGACACATGCTGTGAGATCTTTGAACTTAGAAAAGCAGTTAGCCTGTCTCTTTAGGTTTGCAAATAATGAGGACAAAATCATCATAGTCTTTTGGGGTAAATGAGTTAAGAATATGACACCCCAAAATGCCATTCTGGCATATTGACTATTTAAGTTAAAGGCACTTAAAAAAACAGCAGGTACAAGAAGATCATTCTGACCATGCTGTTTCTTAAAAGTAGGAGATGAAATTCCCATGTGAAAGATGCCCTTCCTATACTACAAAGAAAACAGCATTCTTATCATCAAGAATAAAAAGATGAGGCCAAAGGAAATCTGGACAAACAATTGTTACACAAATTCTTAACATCCCAACCACTTCTCTGCCCACTTGACTACCCTAGCCCAAGCCCCCCCACCTTATTACATTTTTTGCAAGTTACTGCTTTTTGTCCAATTCAGTATATAAGTGTTTGTCTCTCACTGCTTCTTTGGGTCTTCATTTCTTTATAGGGTTCCTATGCCACATAAAGCTTTTATTAAATAAATGTGTATGCTTTTCTCCTGTTAATGGCAATTTAATTCTTGGGCCCAACTATTACCCTAAGAGGACAGAGGTGAAATTTTGCCTCTCCTACAGGGGAAGAGATTCTTAATAATGTTCATATCAATCTCTAATGCTAATAAACATTCTTAGTAGCTGGTTCTATACACCATGCCCCAAGCATGAAAATAAAACTTTCAGGCCAGATATGATGGCTCATGCCTGTAATCCCAGCACTTTGGGAGGCTGAGGCAGGTGGATCACCTGAGGTCAGGAGTTCAAAACTAGCCTGGCCAACATGGTGAAAACCCTTCTCTACTAAAAATACAAAAATTAGCCAGTTGTGGTAGTGTGCACCCATAGTACCAGCTATTCGGGGAGGCTGAGGTGGGAGAATCGATAGAGCCCAGGAGGTCAAGGCTGCAAATAGCCATGATTGTGAGTTATATATTATTTTCCCTAATGCCAAACTGCAAAAACTGTAATCAGCTTATTTTTTTGTTAATAGAAACATTTATATAAATAAATTCCTACAAGCTACATTAATGGGGGAAGCACTCAGGCTATAAATACACACATTCACATAGGCAACAGTGATTTAGGGCACAGCCCTAAGAGATTAAAGGAATCTTTTTTCTATACAAAAAAAATAATTGCAATGTTTTAATACCTAACAATTAGATCTATTTTCTTAAAAAGCAGATTTCTGAAAAGTTATTTTCTAGCGTTTACAATATTTCTTAGGATACTATCATTGCAGAGGTTTCTACAATGTAAAATGAATAGAAATACATACACGGCTTTATATCCATATTCTATTTCCTAGGCATTGGCTAATTTTTCTGTGTAGGACTTTATTCTTTACAAAGGCATTTCACATTTAGTTGACCATTTAACTTGATCCTCACAATAACCCTGTGTGAAGAAAGCTAACATATGCCAAGTACCTACCATATGCCAGGCTCCACTCAGCGTTTTACATGAACTATCTCTTTAATCCTAACAACAATCACATGAAGTAGATACTATCAATTCCATTTTTACAAAACAGAACATTGAGAATAAGAGAAGTTAAGTAGCCCAAGGTCACATGCTAGAAACCAGAAAAACCAGGCTTTAGAAACAGGTCTGTCTGCCTTATACTCAATCCTCTGCTCTTTCACCTACACATTGTTGTTCCATCATCATAAAGGAGTAAACATTCAGAGGAAAAGGTATACTTGAACAAGGCTGCTTAGCTAGTATGTGGTATGAACATCATTTAAAACTAAAATCCTCTGCTTCTAAAACTTTTCCTACTATAGTACCTTCCAACTACAGAACCTACACAATCATTATAAAGCATAAAGATATAGCCAAAGTGTAAGATCATGGCTCCAAATTTGCCCTTGAAAATTTGCAAGAACCAGTACAATATACTATTACATGTATACTTCCATGAAAAACCTCATACCTACAAAAGGTTTAATGCTCACAATCTCCTTTGCTTTTCCAGTAGCAGTTAAGCTCAGAAGAGAAAATCTAAAGGTGTTTCTTCATTCATTCAGCTACTTAGCTAGCACAGAATGGACATCTAACCCTCTAGGTGCTGAGGACTGTGATTTCCAAGTCTCTTCCCTCTTTATTAAGTAACTCACCTAGCATCATGCCTCAGTGCCATAAGCATTTCCTTTAACCTCTTTCTTTTCCTATTATTTTTCCAATTTCTACTCTATTAGCCTCAAAGAAACCTCTCTTAATTGTTCTCATTTGTTAACTTCAACCAAGTAATAACTACTTCTAGTCACTATCTAATGCCCTGGGAAGTTTTTTAAAAAAAATCTCATGTGGCTTGCTGCTCCCATGGCAGGAATACTTTCTGACTTCACTAGGCAGACCCAGGAAGAAACAAATGGACAATGTGGATTTTTACAAGAAAGTTGGTCTGGACTCTTCAAAAAGTCAGTATTATTAAAAAAGAAAGGAAGAGAGAAAGAAAAAGAGAGGAAGAGTGAAAGAGAAACAGGATAAGGGAAACTAATCTAGATTTTTTAAAGAATAAACAGCACATAAGCAAATGCAATATGTGGACCTTAACTAGATTGTTGTTTGAAAAAAGCTATAAAGGAAGTTTTGAGGACAACTGGAGAATTAAGATATGGACTGAATTTAACACAGTATTATTGTTCTTTTTTACATATGGTAATTAATACAGTGGTCATGTAAACAACGTCCTTTATTTCTAGGAGATGCATATTAAAGTATGAAGTTTTTAAGAGTGAAATGTCATAAGGTCTGAAATTACTTTCAAATGGTCCAGCAGTGCCACACCCCTCTCTAAAATGTACATATTCCACAAGAATATATGTGGCAAAATGTTGGTAATTATTGAATCAAGGTTGAAGGTGTTTGGATGTTCACTGTATTATTCATTAAACATTTTTGCATGTTTAAATTTTTCAAAATATAAAACTGGGTTTAAAAAGGTAAGGGAGAGACTAAACCATTGGGCAGTCTATACTTGTTTTCAGATTTCTTTGAAATGGAGTCTCTCTCTGTCGCCCAGGCTGGAGTATAGCGTGATGTCGGCTCACTACAACCTCTGCCTCCCGGGTTCAAGCAATTCTTGAACCCGGGAGGCAGAGCTTTCAGTGAGCCAAGATCGCGCCACCGCACTCCAGCCTGGGCGACAGAGTGAGACTCCGTCTCTAAAAGAAAAAAAAAAAAAAAATCAATGTGATGTGGCCATACAAACATCAGGCTCTATTTAATAAATCAAAAGTCTATAGAAAAAGGAAAAAAGTTTCACAACAGAAGATAAAGTGGTGATTAAAAAGATTAGTGTTTCTAAGACTGAAATTTTAAGTATCACTTCTTCAAATGAAAGAAAATTGAATTAGATTTTAAAATCCCAAAACTCTATTTAGTAATACAATTTTATTTTGCTACGTATTTTTTTCTGATTATAAAAACTTTTTATACTTTGTAATTTAAACTTCACATCAAGTATCTTTACTCATTTACATTTTCCTGAGTTCCCTTCCAGCTTTTTAAACTCTCTCAACACATGTTTTCTTTCTAATACATTTGACACAGACTTTCATTTCTGGGTGATGTTTTTCTAAATCATAAAATTTGCAACATTATTTTCCTCAAATAGTCTAAAGCCTAAAATCTAGTCATAAATCTATGCAGTTCCAGAAGTTTTCGTAATAAAAAGGAGGTATATTATAAAACAGAACTTTCAGCTCAGTATCCTGGTAACAGCATCCTAAGAGCATAAGCTTAAACCTTCCCCTTTGCCATAATCAATTCAACAGACCTTCCCCTCTGCCATAATCAATTCAACAGAGTTTTTTCTAAGAAAAAAATTATCAATTGTTCAAAGATAAGAATGCCTTCCCCAGTCCACTACAGGCATACCAAAAGAAAGTCTTAAATTTTTGTATGATTTCTGCTAACCCTGCTAACAAGTAAAAAGGAATACCACGTAGAAATCCTATTAAATTATGTTTACTTAATTTCTGTATACTATGACTTAAACGTCCAAATCTAGTGAGAGTTAAAAATGTCTCAACATTTCTAACAATGAGGTGTTTGTTTACTATTAAATGTATTCTATTTACAGTAATTCACAAATAATAATTAAACAACTACTTATAAAAATAAACCACTTGTAAAATCACGTAAAAATCATGTCATCATATGCTTAAGAAGTCATGCTCCATCTAACCTAATGAAGTTTTTAAAAACAACCTTTTCTCCATGAACTTGAGATATTCTTAGACTAAATTTACTAAAGAAATGTTATTCCATATGTTACACACACACACACAGACACACACACACCTTATAGATTAACTCATACAGATAATGCCAACTAGGTCAAATTTCACTTCCAGAAACACAACTATACAGCCTTCCATAAGAAGAATTACAGAAAGAACCCATAAAATAAGTTTCCAAATATGATGGTGGTTGATTTGGAGTATCAACATGACTGGATTAAGGGATACCCAGTGAAATGGTTTGGCTTTGTGTCCCCACCCAAATTTCACCTTGAATTGTAATCCCCATAATCCCCATGTGTCAAGGGCGGGGCCAGGTGGAGGTAATTGGATCATGGCGGAGGTTTCCCCCATGCTGTTGTTGTGATAATGAGTGAGTCTCAGGGGATCTGATGGTTTTATAAGTGTCTGGCATTTCCTCTGCTGGCATTCATTCTCTCTCCTGCTGCCCTGTGAAGATGTGCCTTCAGCCATGATTGTAAGTTTCCTGAGGCCTCCCCAGCCATGTGGAACTGTGAATTAATTAAAGCTCTTTTCTTTATAAATTACCCAGTCTCAGGTATTTTCTCATAGCAATGTGAGAATGGACTAATATACCCAGATAGCTGGTAAAGCAGTAATTATTCTCAATGCTTCAGCAGGCATTGAGCTCATCCCATTTCTGCTGAAAGACAAAACCAGGTGGTATGGAATTTGTTTAGAATGATTGGGGTGTCCCAGGTGTGTCTGTGAAGGTGTTTCCAAAGGAGATTGACATTTCAGTCAGTGGACTGAGTAAGGAAGATCTGCCCTCAATATGAGTGGGCACTGTCAAATCAGCTGGGGACCCAGATGGAACAAAAAAGCAGAAGAAGGGTGAACTTGCCCTCTTTTCTGAAGCCAGGATGCCCTTCATCGTCTGTCCCTGAACATCAGAGCTCTTTGTTCTCTAGCCTTTGGATTCTGGGACTAGCATCAACCCCTCTCCCTCCTCCGTGCTTGACTCTCGAGCCCTCGGCCTTGGACTGAGAGTTACAGCATTGGCTTCCTTGGTTCTGAGGCCTTTGGACTTGGACTGAGTCATGCTACCAGCTTCCCTGGTTCTCCAGCTTCCAGACAGCCTATGGTGAGACTTCTCAGTCTCCATAATTGACTAAGCCAATTCCCCTAATAAATTCTTTCTCATATATATCACTATCTAAATATATATTCAATCGATAGCCTGTCTCTCGGGTAACCCTGACTAAAACACTATGGATTTTTCCATCAGTGTAAATGGTAAGAACTGCTAGCTGGATGATATGGTATATATGATTGTACCACTACATTCTGTAAAAGTAACTGTAATTGAGCAGTACCCTTGGCCAGTTTGGTGTATTAAATATCCTCACATATGGCAGCTAATTCCTAATACTTTATAATACCTTAGTTGTTGAAAATGACCACAAACAAGTTGATAAAATTAAGGTAATCTTAATAACCTCAGACCTCTTACTCTTAAATTTTTTTAGGGAAATGAGATTAGACCTCTGCATATTTTATGAGAAATATCATGTTAATAACGTAGCGAAGTGAAAAGTCACACGCCACTTGAATAAGTCTACACAGGACCAAAACATATCTCATTTTATACATACTAGTACAGCCTCAAAAGTGGCTCCCAATGACCCTACCTCCTGGTATTCACACCCTTGTGTAATCCCCTCTCCTTGAATGTGGGCTGGACCTAGTGAATCACTCCTAATAAACAGAATATGGAAAAAGTGAATGCATGCCACTTTCGAGACTATATTACAAAAACACTGGGCCTTTCATCTTGCTCACCGTCTCTTGTTAGCTTGCACTAATGGAAGTTGATGCCATGTTGTGACCTGCCCTACAGTAAAGGCTCAAGTGGCAAGGAACTGAAATTAGCTTCTCAAAAACAGCCCACTAAGGAACTGGGTCCCTTAGTTCAACAATCAGTGAAGAACTAAATGCTGCCAATAATCACATCATTGAATTGGAAGCAGATCCTCCCCCAGGACCTTCAGATGACACCACAGGCCTAGCAGATATGTTAGGTGCAGCTTTGTGAGAGATCCTGAGCCAGAGGACTCAGTTAAGCTGCACTCAGATTCCCGATCAACAAAAACAGATAATGTTTGCAGTTTTAATCTGAGAAGTTTTGGGGTAATTTGTTATGTAGGGCAATAGATTGAATTGCGCCCCCCCCCCCAAATTCATACGTTGAAATCCATACCGTCAGTACCTCAAAATGTGACCTTTGAAGCTAGGGTCTTTAAAGAGGTAATCAAGTTAAAATGAGGCCATCAGGGTGGGCTCTAATCCAGTATGACTGGGGTCCTTAGAAATCTGGACACAGGACCGGGCGTGGTGGCTCACGCCTATAATCCCAGCACTTTGGGAGGCCAAGGCGGGTGGATCACCTGAGGTCAGGAGTTCGAGAACAGCCTGGCCAACATGGCAAAACCCTGTCTCTACTGAAAATACAAAAAATTAGCTGGATGTGGTGATGCACACCTGTAATCCCAGCTACTTGGGAGGCTGAGGCACGAGAATCGCTTGAACCCAGGAGGCGGAGGTTACAGTCAGTCAAGGTCGCACCACTGCACTCCAGCCTGGGCAACAAGAGAGAAACTTCGCTTAAAAAAAAAAAAAATCTAGACACAAGAGACATGCATAGAAGGAAGACCGTGCAAAGAGACACAGGGAAAAGATGGCCACCTAAAAGCCAAGAAAACAGGACTGGAACAAATCCTTCCCTCACAGGCCTCAGGAGCCAACCCTGCAACACTGGCGTCAGACTTCCAGCATACAGACTGTGAGACCATAAATTCCTGTCATTTAAGCCACCCACTTCTTAGTACTTTGTTACAGCAGCCCTCACAAACTAATATATGTGGCAATAGATAACACACATATACTTAATTCAAAATAACTTCTATCAACAATACCAAAATTAGCCTCCATTTAGGACTCAAGTAGATGCCCAAAGGTCTTTATTAAGAAAAAAGATATTAGTCCATACCGGAAAATCTTAGGACCACAGATATTTTAGTGAGCTGGGACCTCTGCAGTCATATAATCTAATCTACTCATTTCAGAAATTGATGATGATAATAATAATGATGTGCCAGGAACACATACATTAATTCTTTATAATAATACCATGAGCTACCACTATCATCCACTCCTTTTTTAAGATGTAGAAATTGATGTCCAGAAGTAAAGGTCACAAAGCTAGTACGTGGCGATGCCGGATCTGAATAAATTGAGGTGCACAGAGAAAAAGTAATTTACCCAAAATCACAGTTGGCAGCTCAGCTGGGTACCTAATAGTATGTCTCCTATATTCAAATCTTTTTTCTCAAAAAGTCAAATGAAAAAAGTTTCCTTTCTCAAAATATCTTATTGCACTGTACCATTTTATTCATGATAGTCAAATAAATGTCCATCAACTGATGAAAGGATATACAAACTGTGGACTATCCAAACAATGAAATACTACCCAGCATTAAAAGGATCAGAAGTTTTATCCTTTTTAATTCTGGGTAACACAGATGAATGCAATAACATGGATATAACTTTAAAGTATTACAATATTCCCCCTTTATCCATGATTTCACCCTCCACGGTTCATTACCCACAATCCAAAAATATTATATACAGTAAGATATTTTGATAGAAACCACATTCACATAACTTTCACTGCAATATTTGTTATTATAATTGTTATATTTTATTAGTAGTTATTATTGTTAATCTCTTACTGTGTCTAATGTATAAATTATACTTTGTTACAGGCAAGTATGTATAGAAAAAACATAGTATACATAGGGTTCCCTAGTATCTGTGGTTTCAGTCTTCCACTGGGGGTCTTGGAACATATCCCTCTCTGATAAGGGGAGACTATCGCACATGTGGAAGAAGTACTACTATATCTTATTATTAGTTATCCACATTTCAGTAGGAATAAGTGAGACCTTTTTCAGAGAACAGTCTTTAAAACAAAGAAAGCCAATGCAAAGCTTTTAAATTACCATGCCCTAAGCCACAATTTGTCTAAAGGTATCTGATTGAGGAATCAGAGTCTGTTCCGGCAAATCAGTATTGAGTGCTTAGTTAGCCTTTCTTTGGGATCTGGATTATAAGGTATTATGCTTGGGAGGCAGTGGCAAGCAGGCTTCACCTCACAAAGAACAGCAATGTGATGATAGCTAGTTCCCAAAGAGAGAAAGAAGAATGAGATGAACATGCAGAGAAGAGACACTCTGCTGAGAGCCTGCGGGAAATCTGATTGTCTTTAGTCCTGGGTTCTTATTTGCAGTCCAGCTGCATTTCTGTTCTTGGATCCTGTGGCATCTCCTGGGACACTCCAAAAGTTTTCCCATTTTTGGTTAAAATAATTTGATTACTTGCAATCAACAGAGAAACAACATGATCAAAAAGGTACCCTCTCTAAAGCTGAAGAACATTATTGAAAAACTAATAACCTCATGTAAAAAATAAACTTTTTAATAACAACAAAGTAAAGTAAAGCATTAAAACTAAGGGTAGCCACAGTACTCTCAAGGGCCTCACAAGACAGTTTAATCCTTAAACTAGTCACTCAAAGAAACTACAATACAATGGATTAAAGAGTTTCAAAGCATGTGCTTTAAAAACAACTACATTTTTCCAGGAAAAAACAAGAGGAAATTATGCTTTAAAAATATGACTTTCATCATCTGTAGGTACCTACAAGAAAAGTAATATTGATTTAAAGCCAAAATTGAAACTGAAGATAACTTATTCTAATGTAGCCCTGTTTTGGTGCAGAAAACTAAGAGCCAACAAGCAAAGAAGGCTTGCCCAAGCTTACCAGTCATCAGTGGTAAAGGACGGTTGAAACCCAACTCCTGAATCACAAGTCACTGGTCTTGCTGCTGCACAATAACGCAGCAAAGACAATCACAATTCTGTTCCTGGCTCCTTTTTCAACAAAAAAAAAATCCTAAAACTGACCTGATTCTCTGTTCTGGGCTGGCATGAACCTGCTTAGAAATGATAAGAATGGCAGGCACTTTCTTCCTGAAGCAGACGTGGAGAAGTATTATACCTGATGAAGGAAAGGAAAAGAAAACTCAGTTTATGTTCAGAATATACATCATGAGTCATTCATTTTCTACTGATTCTCTTTACCTCCTTACTTGTTGTCTTGCTTGTTTAATAATGGAACATATAGCACTTTATTTAAAATAGATTAAATTTGCTATTAAAGATCCATGAAAAATATAAAGTTATTTAAAGCTGGTCTCTACAGACCATCTGATTTCACTTCTTCATTTTACTGATAAGGAAACTTTGACCTGGAGAAATTATGCAAAGAATCAATGACAACACAGCTACTTAGTGTTAGAGCCAGATTCAGAACTCAACCCTTACCACTTCCAGTCCAGTACTCATTTGTATATCACAGACCACACAGCCTCTTTTCTTGGAGAAAAAATTCATGCTATTTCTCTAGGTGTATTTTTCATGCATCTCAAGATAAATGCGGTATAGAGCTGAATTGATTTGTTCTAAATTAAAATTTTAAAAATTGCTGCCTCATTCAAAGGTCATACTCTAGTCTCAAGTTATTTGGGTTGCCTTATACAGGATATATAAATGTTTCCTTTCATTTACCAGTCAATATTTCAATATGAAAACATTAGCATATGAATCATGAGATCTAGTTTCTTAGGCCTCTAGTAACTCTGCTCTCAACAAGTTCTATAGTGTAGTCAAACACATTTTGGTCCTAAAGTTCTTTAATTCAAAAAGGAGGAGCCTGGACTAATTCCTAGGGGCCTTCTAACTCTAAAATGTTATACCAAAGAATAGCATCATCTTTAATGACATTCGCCTTTTCAGATGAGCTATGTGTTTTTGTTATGTAACTTTATTTGTTAAACTCTTTAATCGTATTATTATAGTTCAAACAAAATCATTCAAAATCATTGAAGGCAATATTGCCTTCAATAGACAGGTAATTATTCAAAAACCTAACCAATAATAACCTAGTTTTGCTGGTTTATCTCATTACCTGGCTGGTTCTATTACAGAAACCCAGCTAGAAGTAGGAGAAAAATCCCTCTTTTTAATTTTTATTTTTAATTTTTACCTGTACATAGTAAATATACAGATTTATAGGGTACATGAGATGTTTTAATACAGGCATACAATGTGTAATAATCACATCAGGGTAAATGGGGTGTCCATCATCTCAAGCATTTATTATTTTTTTGTGTTATGAACATTCCAATTATACTTATTTTTTAATGTACAAATTATTAACTGTCACCCTATTGTGCTACCAAATACTAGATCTTATACATTCTTTCTAACTATGCTTTTGAACCCATTAACTATCCCCGCTCTTGCCCCACCCACTACCCTGCCCAGCTTCTGGTAACCATCACTCTATTCTCTATTTATGAGTTCAATTGTTTTAATTTTTAGCTCCCAGAAATGAGTGAAGACATGCAAAGTTTGTCTTTCTGCACCTGGCTTATTCTGCTTAACATAATGTCCTCCAGTTTCATCTATGTTGTTGCAAATGACAGGATCTCATTCTTTTTTATGGCTGAATAGTATTCCAATGTGTATATACCACAATTTCTTTATCCATTTGTCTGCTGATAGACACTTAGTTTGCATCCGAATCTTGGTTATTGGTAACAGTGCTCATAAATATGGGAGTGTAGATATCTCTTTGATACACTGATTTCCTTTCTTTTGGGTATAAACCTGGTAGTGGGGCTGCTGGATCACATGGCAGTTCTATTTTCAGGTTTTTAGGAACCTCCATACTGTTCTCTATAATGTCTGTACTGATTTGCATTCCTATCAACAGTGTACGAGGGTTCCCTTTTCTCCACATCCTTGTCAGCATTTGTTATTGCCTGTCTTTTGCATAAAAGCCATTTTAATGGGACGAGTTGATACCTCATTGCGGTTTTGATTTGAATTTCTTTGATGATCAATGACACTGAGCACCTTTTAATGCATGTTTGTTTGCCATATGTATGTCTTCTTTTGAGAAATGTCTATTCTGATCTTTTGCTCATTTTTTAAATCAGATTAAGGAAAAGTACTCTTTAAAAGTCTACCTCTTGGGTAGTTTCTAAGAAATATCCTGAATTATTTCCTCAAATCATTGATCTAGTTATTCATCCAATAAGTTTTTACTGAGTCACTTGCCAGATGGCAGATACATACAAGCTTAATGAGACAGAAAGCTTTAAAACAAGATAATTCTAGTGAAATACTGAGTGCTGTTAGGAATTCAGGTGGCAGTAGAGAGTAGGCAGAATTAATGACATGTCTCCTAAATTATGACTTCAGATTATAGCTTATCTTTTAATATATTAATTATTACATACAACAATTATTTGGAACATTTTAAATTCAAAGCAAAATAATAGAATGAACATCCAGATACCTGTCACCCAACTCAAGAACCTAAGGGTAAGTTATTGGTATTGTTCTACTAATTTGTTCCTCCTCCATTCCATGCTCCACCTCTCTTATCCCCACCACCCCCTGTAACCGCAATCCTGTATTTTGTATTTATCATTACTTTGCTTTTTAAACAGTATATCACATAGGTACATCTTCCTGAACAATATAGTGTTCCATTTTGCTTGGTTCTGAAATCTATCAAAACGGTATCAAAATCTATCCTCCTGTCTTGTAGGATTTGGTTTTTTAATTCAATATTACGTTTCTAAAACTCACCCAACGTTGTTGCATATAGTTGTAGTTCATTCATTTTCACTGCAGAATAATACTGCATTGTACAAATATATCACAATTTAATTATCCGTTCTCTTGTCAATAGCTTATTTTCCCCTCCAAGTTTTGTTTTGCTATTATGAACATTTATGTTATGAAAGTTCTGACATGTGTCATGTTCCACATGTGTCCGAGTTTCTCTTAAGTACATGCCTAAGAGTTAGGGAGTAATCTTAAATTTAACTTTTCATGATGATGCCAATTTTTACTTTCCCTAAAGTGTGTTTGGCAATTTATAACTTCACTACCAAAAGGTAGTAGCAGAACTACCACATCTACAGCCTCTCCAACGTGTAGTAATGCCAACTTTTTAATGCTGGGTATAGAATGGCATCTAATTGTGGTCTTAGTTCGCACTTCCTTGTCAATTAATGATGCTGAGTATTTCTTCATGTTTCTTGGCTATCTCATATTTTCTCTCGTATGAAATGCCTATTCATATATTTTACCCATTTTCCTCCTGACTTATTTGCCATTTTCATATTGTTTCATGTGTATTTTATATGTATTTGGATGCCCATTACTTGGTTTTACCAGTCTTGACCAAAAACAGGCAATTGTTGAGATAAGGGAGCAGAAGCAAAAATAGCAGGCGGCCAGAAAACTGGCAACAGCAAGTTAGAGTACCAATGATTTCCTCAACCCATTTTTTAATATAAATGTAATCTACAGACATCTTAAAGTATCAGAAATCTAAAATATTATAAAATCAATCTAGATTTACAATCTTTCATTTTAATATAAACTCAGCCAAGAACAAATGCTACAAAATGATTTCAGTACATTCTAACTACAATATGTAATATAGTATAATTCTCAGGAATCAAGTTTTACACAGGTCACAATTAAGACCACAATTTAAAGTTCCCATTTTGACCCTGACATTTTACATATTTTTACTTCATGCTTTCCTTGCCTCCAATTTAGAGTAAGTCAGTTACATTGTCAGAGGATTAAGTTTAAATGTATATGCACATATGTATAAAAACTAAATTTTGAAATTAAACTGTGTACATTGAAATGCCACAGAAACCTGAATTCCAGACTTAGCTAGATGATTAGCTATATCTCCCTGGCCTATCTATGTCTTCTGAGTTGGTTTTCTTATATTAATACTTAAAATGGAAATTGTGCTGGGTCTTATCATACTCTTTGGGTGGGGAGTGGTGGCTCACGCCTGTAATCTCAGCTCTTTGTGAGGCTGAGGCAGGACTATCACTTGAGAACAGCAGTTTGATACCACACTGGGCAACATAGTGAGACCCCATCTCTACAAAAAATTTAAAAATTAGCTGGGCATGGTGGCAAACACCTGTAGTCCTAGGTACTTAGGAGTCTGAGGCAGGAGGATCACTTAAGTCCAGGAGATTGAGGCCACAGTGAGCTATGAACGTGCCACTGCCCTTCAGCCTGGGTGACATAGCAAGACCCTGTCTCTTTTAAAAAAAATTATTTGGCTTGAAGATCAATGAGAAAATTTTTTTCCAAATAGCCCAGAAAGATTTTGTGGAGTCTCTTTCCAAACTTTATACAAAGTAGCCAGTTAAACTAAATAATAACAAAAAATAAATTTTCAAAATTTTTAACAAGCAGTTTTAGAGTCCTCCTAAGGCCTCCCAGGACTCCTGCCAGGTAATCTGATGAAATGCATCATACAAGAAAAAAAAAATTCAAAAGCCACAGGCAATCAGAAGAGAACTTCCAGAATCTCTCATGACATTTACCTCCCCACCTGAATCTGTACCCTTTCACTGAATTTCAGGATTCACATCAAAATCTAACCCCTCTACTTTGCTACTAGATGTTACATGCCTAGAACACCAATGTCATTGCTCTAGGAAATCCCACTTCTCTCTCCTACGTCATCAATTTCCTCCTTCCAATAAAGCAAAATCACTGGCAAATACATTTCCAATCATTAGAAAACAAACAACAAAACCTCTCGACTCCTTATATGCCTCTAGATGATGGCCAATATCTTTGATTCCTTTTTTAGCAAAACATCACAAGCTTGTACTCCTTGTCTACAATTATACTTCCATTCAAATTTAACACACTCCAATTAGACTTTTACTACACAACATCACTGAAATTCAAGGTCATCAATTACCTGAATATTGTTAAATCCAAAGGCCTATTAGTTCTCATCTTTCTTGACTTATCTGCAGCATTTGGCATGACATATCACATGCTGATACACTTTCTTTTATTGGCTTCCAGAACCAACTCTATTGGTTTCATCCTATCTCATCGACCTCTCCTTGTCAGCGTTCTTTCCTAGTTCCTCCTCTTCTCCCTGACCTTTAAAGTTTAGGTTGTTAGCCTTCTTCTCTAACCCACTGGCAAGTACTATTGACTTTATCTACAAAAATACTGAGAATCTGACCACTTCTCGCCACTTGCATAGTTACTATTTTGGTCAAAGTCTGTATTGTCCCTCACTTGGATTTTTGCCATAGGTTAGTAACTGGTCTCCCAACTTCTACCCTTGTCCTATTTTCAAGTCCTTTCTCATCGAAGTAGCCAGAGTGATCCAGACAACCTAACATAAATCATAAATCGTATAACATCTGCTCCCAAAATCTCCCAGTGGCTTCCCATCTCACTCAGAGTAGGCCATTTTTTTAAAAAATGACATAAAAGAACCTATAAAATTTGGCCCCTATTACCCCTGACTTCATTTCCTACCAACTTCCTTGCCATTCTTTTTACAGGCCAGGCACATCCTTGCCTTGGGGCCTTTATACTTGCTATTCTCTCCCTATATGCTTTTCCAAGAGATGATTACAGTAGACCCTTCCTTATCTGTGTGGGTTGGGGGTTGGATATGTTCCAAGACCCCCAGTACATTTTTCCCCATGCATATATACCTGTGATAAAATTTAATTTATAAATTAGGCATAGTACTCTTATGCTTTGGGGCCATTATTAAGTAAAATAAGGGTTATTTGGATATAAGCACTGCGATACTCTGACAGGTGTATTTCCCTTCTATTCCTATTTGTCTATGTCCTTCCATGAAAATGTAAAATCTATGAGGGCAATGGTTTTGTTTAGTTTAATGCTACAGCTCCAATGCCTAAAAAAGAATCTGGCACATAGCAGGCATCCAATTAACATTTTTTAAAATAAATAAACAGTTACTCTCTTAAGGCTAAAAATGGGAATCTTTCCTAGTTTATAAAACAAGATAATCTAAATAATTGGGGGACAACAACTAGATTTTTGATGTAAAAGAATCATTCTAAAATTTCTTCAAAAGATAATTGATAATGATGATAACCTCAAAATATTTTATTAGACATTGTAACTGATACTTCCATAAATTTGATAAATTAACAAATAGTTCCCCTTATTATTAGGTTTTAGACTCTGGCCGTCCACAGAATGACTCATTTCTTTCCCACTAACTGCTGTCATATTTAACAATGGTTGGCATGCAGGGCCGTAACACCAGCACACAGGAAAATATTACAAAAATGTTCATTCCAAACTGGTTCCAGAGAAAGAACCAAGCTCTTTATAAATGAGGAAAGTCTAAAAATAAAGGGCAGATATTTTTAAATGTTTTCAATATTTTGTTTGAAAATAATTCCAAACTTACAGAAAAGTTAGTAAAAATACAAAAATCACTCATACTCAGATTCAGCCATTACTAATGTCACCTCTTTACTTTTACATTTGTGCTCCTGAGCTTTTACACTTTCTTGCATTCATACACACACATGCACACATACACTTTTTTTCCTGGAGCAAATGAGAATAAACTATATACATCAAGCCCTTTCCTCCTCTTCTTCCAATGTGTGTTTCTTTAGCAATACTTTCTCTTATAAGGAAAGCACAGTGATCAACTTCAGTAATTATAACATTGTTACAATATTTTTATCTATTCTATGGTCTATATTCCAATATTCTAATTTTTCAATTGATCCAATAACATCCTGCATGGTATATTTTCCCCCATTCAGTATAAGATCCAGTCTAGGGTCAGGTACTGTTAGTGGTTCTCTCTTCTATGCCTCCTTTAATTTGGAACACTTCCATAGCCTTTCTTTCTCTTTTATGACACTGACTTTTTTAAGGACCACAGTTCCCTCCCCGCTTTTTAAAGTAGAACATTCCTTATTTTGCACTTGTCGAATGTTTCCTCGTGATTAAATTCAGGTTATGCAGTCTTGGCCAGAATACTACAGAGGAGATGATGTGTCCCCTCAGGGTGTCCTATCTGGAGTCACATGGTGACCATCTGCCCCATATTGTTGTTGGATCGCACCAATGCATAATCACTATATTATCCCTTGCAATTAGTACACAGTCTGTGGGGTGATGCTTTAAGACATCGAAAATATCCTGCTTCTCATCAAAATTTCTCCCTCATTTAGTTATGACTCTTGCCCTACCTAATATCTACTACGCTAGCTACAAAATAATGATTTTTCCAACTCTAAAGCTCAGAGTCCTACTGGAAGAAAGAGCCTTCCTTTCTCCTCTATTCATTCACTTATTTTTATTATCATTATGGATTTATTCCTATTTCTAATGGTTCATAATTTATTATTATACTTACTTGATTATTAAATTATCTCAAATTTGGCTAGCAGGAATGCCAATAGGCTTCTTGTGACATGTTCTTATTTAAAAAAAAAAAGTTTCTATTTTCTCGCATTGAAAAATAATCCAGGCTCACATGGTATGTGCCCTACCCTATCCTAGAATCATCTATTTCTGTGAGGAGCTCTGGTTCCTTTGACTTGAGAATGGTATTACAGAATTCTAATTCCAAGAATTTGGAGTTAGGTATGCTCTTTGCCTCTTAGCCCTTTTACTGGACAGAGCTAGGAAATGTATGAATGCAAATACACATACAAATTTATGTACATATGTCTGTACATGCAATTACATGTACATATATATTGGCTTAAAACATCATGAACTCACTGATACCTTCAATTCCAATCCACCTGCACAGAATTTATTATGCCTTCTCCCACCCCATATTTGTGTGTCTCTCCTTCTTCAGGGAGAACCCTCACTCCAACAACCTCAAAACATTTACTCAATCCCCAATACACCTAAAAAGTCCCAGAAGTGCTATGTCCATATCACTATGAAAAGTAAACCTAATAGAATGAGTTCAAGAGTTGCCTGCAACCCGTCTCTTTCAACTCTACCCAAGCTGACGGTATATGGTTATAGTTATAGCACCATGTTATTAGTAATAAATTACTTAGATTTACTCTTTGTTCCCTCAATGGGGGTACAATACTAATTTAAAATACATTCAGGTTCATTTGTTTCAGTGGATTAGGATTCTCCCCATTTCCGTCCTTATTTTGAATACTGAAAAAAACACACTATGAAAAGCCAAAACTATATTTTTTAAAAAAAGGTTTACTTTGAAGTGTCATTGCCTCCCATAAACCTCTGGCCCCATTACCTCTCACTACCCCTTCTTTTTGTAAAGTCAAGCATATATATGTATGTGTTATTTTCCCTTTTTTCTTACATAAAAGATAGCACACTATATATTCTTGTTTATACTAACCAGCACAATCCAGATTGAAGAAAGCTCTTCCCAAAGCCTTTTATAAGATACAATATCCTGATATCAAAACCAGACAAAGAGATTAAGAGAAAAAAAGACTAGAAATTTCATATTTTTTGTGAACATAAATGCAAAAACTTTTAACAAAATATAAGGAAACCAAATCTGGCAACATATAAAAGGGGTATTACATCATGATGAAGTGCATTTATCCTGGAAATGCCAGGCTAATTCAATATTCAAAAAATTAACATAATTTACCATTATCAATAAAATAAAGATTAAAAACCATATAATCTCAATAGATATTTTAAAAATCACTTGCAAAATTCAACATCTATTAATGATAAAAGCTCTACTAAACCAGGAATAGAATGAAACTTACTCAACCTGATAAACAGCCTCTTTAAAACAGATATAGCTAACATCATGTTTAATGAAGAAAGACTGAATGCTTTCTCTTTTTAACATATACTAGAAATCCTAGCCAGTGCAATAAGGCATGAAAAATAAATAAAAGGCAAAAATGGAATGGAAGAAGTAAAACTGTCTTTATTCCAGGCAGCATGATTATATATATAGATAGAAAACCCCAAAGAGTCTACCAAAGAAACCTCCCTAAGTTAATAAGGGAACTTGGCAAGACTGCAGTATACAAAGTTCAATATACAAAAATCAATTGTGTTTCTACATATTAACAATGAAACAACTAAAAGTTATAGATAAAGAGATAGATAGATAGATAGATAGTACCATTTATAATAGCACCCAAAACACATGAAATGCTGAGGAGTAATTCTAACAAACTGTGCAAAATCTGTCTACTGAAAACTATAAAACAATGATGAAATAATCACTAATGAGATAATCATTGATAACAATGATGAAATAAACCAAAGATGACTTAAGTAAATAGAGAGATACTCTATGTTCATGGATTTGGAGGCAATATATTCAAGGAATCAGTTCTTCCCATATTTACCTATAGATTCAATGCAATCCCAATCAAAATTAGAGTAGACTTTCGTTTTTGGAAATCAACAAGATGACTCTAAAATTTACACAAAAAAGAAATCAAGAATAGTCAAAACGATTTGGAAACAAAACAAAATTGGAGGACTCATATTACCTGATTTCAAGACTTACTAAAAAGCTACAGTAATCAAGATAGTGTGGCAGTGGTAAAAGCACCTAGATCAATGGAAAAGGACAGAAATTCCAGAAACAGATACACACAAACATGGTCAATTGATTTTTGACAAAGATGTCAAGCAATTTAATAGGGAAGGAAAAATTTTTCACTAGCCAGTGCTACAGTAATCAGATATCCACAACCCAAAAATAAATAAATAAATAAATAAAACTCACAAAAACTTCAGTCAACCCACACATCACACACTATATACAAAATTTAACTCAAACCAAATCACAGACATAAATGTACAATCTAAAACTATAAAACTTCCAGAGGAAAACTTCGGGGAAAATCATTGTTACTTTGAGTTAGGCAAAAAATTCTCTAACAGGATATAAAAAGTAAAAACTATAAAAGAAAAAAATGGGCAAAGTGGACATCACCAAAATTAATTTCTGCTCTTCAAAACACAGTGTTATAAAAATGAAATTAAGCCAAAAACTGGGAGAAAGTATTTGTAAAACACATACCAGACTGGAACCCAAAATATATAATGAATTCTTTAAACAATAAAAAAAAAGCAAACTGATTTTAAAAAGAATAAAAGATGTCGACACTTACTTTTAAAAAAAGGATACATACAGCAAACAAGCAATGAAAGCTCACTACCATTATTTATGAAAAGCAAATTAAAACATTTTGAATGCTGCTATGAACATTAGCCTTTTTGTGGACATGTGCTTTCATTTCTTTTATAGATATACTTAGGAATGGAATTTATAGATCCTAATGAATATGTTTGAATTTATGAGACACTAGTTGACTGTTTGCTAAAATGGCTATACCATTTCACCAGGAATGAATGAGAAGAAACTTCTAGTTGCTGCATATCCTTACCAAACTTAACATCATCAGATTTTACATGCATTTGTCATTCACATATCCTCGGTAAAATATCTGTTCAAATTATTTGTTCATTTTTCGACAGGGTTCTTTGTCTTCTTATTATTGAATTGTGAGAGTTCTTTATATATTCTGGTTCATATCCTTTGCCAAGTATGTATATGTTTTGCAAGTATATTTACCAGTCTGTGGCTAACCTTTTTATTTTTTTTTAAATGGTGAAGCATGTTCATTTTGAGAAATTTCATTAAGCTTCAACTTACAATTTGTTTACTTTTACTTACGTATATACAGTAAACTTGAACAACATGGGTTTGAACTGTGTTGTCCAATTATATGTGGATTTTCTTCTGCCTCTGCCACATCAGACAAGATCAACTACTCCTCTCTTCCTCCTCCTCTTCGGCCAACTCAGTGTGAAGACAATGAGGATGAACACCTTTATGATGACCCACTTCCACTTAATGAACAGTAAATATATTTTCTCTTCCTTATGATTTTCTTAATGTCATTTTCTTTTAACTAACTTTCCTGTAAGAATACAGTATATGGCTGGGTGTGGTGGCTCACACCTGTAATCCAAGCACTTTGGGAGGCCGAGGCGGGCGGATCACAAGGTCAGGAGATCGAGACCATCCTGGCTAACACCCAGTGAAACCCCATCTCTACTAAGAATACAAAAAAACTAGCTGGGCGTGGTGGTGGGCACCTGTAGTCCCAGCTACTCAGGAGGCTGAGGCAGGAGAATGGCGTGAACCAGGGAGGCGGAGCTTGCAGTGAGCCGAGATCACACCACTGCACTCCAGCCTGGGCGACAGAGCAAGACTCCGTCTCAGAAAAAAAAAAGAATACAGTATATAATACATATAACCCACAAGATGTGTATAAATCGACGGTTTATGTTATCAGTAACACTATCAGTAATTAAGTTTTGGGGAAACCAAAAAAGTTATATGCAGATCAACTACACAGGAGGTCACTTCCCCTAGCCCCAACATGGTTCAAAGATCAACTGTACTTGAATAAATTTATTGAAAAACAAAACAAAACAAAAAAAACTGCTCTTTAAAGGTGACAAAATCATCATCAACTAGTAAATAGCCTAAGGGTGATACAATTTGGCCTACACATACTAAAAACTGGAAAATAAGTCTTTACACTACCAGTCATGAGCCATTCATTGTGTTGGGTCCCTACCAGAGGCACAGACATAAAGTCTAAAATTAGCAAGGAAGAGTAACTGTTGAAGGCCTCCCTCTTCCAATTTGACCTCTGAATTATAAACATTCCAGATTAGGATATATGGCACTTTTGTTAATTATAGAGCAAATTTTAAATGGAAACTTTAGGTTGATGGGGAAAGCAAAGAAATTCAACTTAAGTATAATTACATGAAAAACTAACTCGTGTAATGATTTTCAATAAGCACCTGATTGTCAAATACATATGCTAAAACAAACAATAAGACTCTAAATATCTTTTCGCTGACTGAATAAATAGCTTTATATAAGTATTATTTATTAGTCTTTAATTATTCCAAAATTATCACTCCTAACTTTAAGAAGCAAAAATCAGCCAGGCATGGTGGCTCATGCCTGTAATCCCAGAACTCTGGGAGGCTGAGGGGGATGGATCACTTGAGCTCAGGAGTTCAAGACCAGCCTCTACAAACCCATTCTCTACGAAAAAAATTAAAATAAAAAATACAAAAAATTAGCTGGGCATGGTGGCGCACACCTGTAGTACCAGTTACTTGGAAGGTTGAGGTGGGAGAATCACTTGAACCTTGAGGGAGGAGACTGCAGTGAGCCAAGATCTTGCCACTGTACTCCAGCCTGGGCGAGAGTCAGACCGTGTATCAAAAAATAAACAGGCTGGGTGCAGTGGCTCATGCCTGTAATCCCAGCACTTTGTGGGGCTGTGGCGGATGGATCATCTGAGGTCAAGAGTTCAAGGCCAGCCTGGTCAACATGGTGAAACAACGTCTCTACTAAAAATACAAAAAATTAGCCAGGCATGGTGGCTAAGACAGGAGAATTGCTTGAACCTGGGAGGCAGGTTGCAGTGAGCCGAGATCACGCCACTGCACTCCAGCCTGGGCAACAGAGTGAGACTTCCTCTCAAAAAAATAAATAAAAATAAATAAATAAATAATACATATAGTCACTGGATGTGGCTGAAAGTCTTAAGTTTTGGGAACTTATAGAATATATTATTACTTCTGTAGTAGACACTTCCTGGAGTAGCTGGAAAGCTTATAATCCTTCCCTTTTCTGTGTCATGATCAATGGCCTTGAAAAGATCAAAAGATAAAAAAGAGGGAGATTCTCAGAATAGCTACTTGAATGAACCTCTCACAACAGGGTCACAGCCTAAAAAAATTCCTGTCCCATGTGTATGTTCACCAGAATTCTGCTAACAAATCAAAATACAAAGCCTCTTAGTAATTGAGTGGATAAGATGACCCACATCACAGACCAACTCATACTCCTCCAGCCAGCCTGGTCCTTGCTCAATAGGTTCATGAAAACCACCAGGTGGAAGGAGAAGCAGTTATGCAAGGGCAAATCTGCACGAACTCATTAAGACTGATGTCACTGTCACTACTGTTGAGAACACATTTGCCTGAGTCCCCCAAAGAGAGACTACTTCTTAGCAGGTAAATTATAACAAACCCTTTGCATTACAGAAATGGTGATGGCTGCTTTTCACTATAAGAAACACCAATTCTGAATTTGTCTCTGCCAGCACCACCATTCAAGATTAAGTGAATGCTTCATATAAATCACACTCACAGGGCCTCTGATCCAGGAACTCACTTCAAATGGTGATGGGCAGATGCCCAGGGACCTCACTAGTCTTATCAAATAGACTCTTATTCAGACACAGCTGTCCTCACAGAGGAGTAATGGCATTTTGAAGCTTGACATGCAAGTTGTTGCGCCACCTGAAACCTTCTGATATTGGGGTGCTGTCCTATAGTACATAAAATAAGCTCTGAACCACCCACTAATATATGATGTCTCCCATCCTCCCATCTCCGGAACACACTGGATGTGGGAACGTGGTGATGGTGGAGGTGGTATATTTCATCTGCTTTCAAAGTTCTGCTTCTTGTCTCAAGAACTCTGGAATCTGTTGATCTAGAAATTTTATTTAGTACCCAAGAATGAAATACTTATACCAAGAAACAAAATAACTGTTTCACTCAATTGAAAGCAGAGTTTTATTTCCTCATAACAATAAAAAAACAAGCAAAAATGGAGGCTATAGAATTGACAGAGGTGACTGCTCCTGACCATCAAGGAGAAGACAGGTTGCTACTGCACACCTGGGGCTAGGAAGATCATGAGAAAAGAACTTGGGGGAATCTCATATTCTCTGGCAGTGCCGTACACAGTGTTAATGTGAGTGAAAGATTATCACAATTCTATACAGTTGGAACTACCAAACCTCAGACCCTTTTGGGAATGAAGGACTGAGTTAGCTTCCTAGAAACAGAACCCTGATAAGCCAGGACACTAGCAGAAGGTAACAGAAATATGTAATCTGAAGTGAAACAGGTTAGGGCTTTGTGCTCAGATGTAAAACTAAGGACTGTGGCCACCATTTATTTCCTTAATAGTCACTGGTGTGTGATAAGTACCCTTCTCTTTCCCTTTAAATACATTTTCTCTTTATTTCCTCTTCCTTTCCCTCAAGCATGCAGATGGCAAGTTGGCAGGAGTTAAATTTAGGTTGTAAAATATCAAGAAAGAATCACAATGGAACCAGGAGGCAGCATGATATCACTCAGAGTCAGTAGCCCTATGGCACTGCCTCTGGATATGGTACTTCAACTTGCTTTTTGCTTTTCTCCCACTGGAAAAACTGCATCAATACATGGGATAGCAGGGTTATCTCTACTAGTGGGGAGGAAAGCAAAGGGAAAGAGACAGGAAAAGCAGTGGTTAAGCTACCAAAGAGTGAGATGTTCTAGACACCTAGGAGGGCTGCCCAGCTTTTGACTTCCCCTTCTTTGGGAATGACCCCCAGCACCGAGGTATATTCCTAGCGCGCTATACATCATAAGTCTGCATACCCTGGCTCTAGTACAGACAGACACCTGATCTGAACGAGGTTAATTTAATCCTTTCATTTTTTGTTTTTTTTTTTGAGACAGAGTCTCGCTCTGTTGCCCAGGCTGGAGTGCAGTGGCGTGATCTCCGCTCACTGCAAGCTCTGCCTCCCAGGTTCATGCCATTCTCCCGCCTCAGCCTCCCTAGTAGCTAGGACTACAGGCACCTGCCACCACGCCTGGCTAATTTTTTTGTATTTTTAGTAGATACGGAGTTTCACTGTGTTAGCCAGGATGGTCTCGATCTCCTGACCTTGTGATCCACCCGCCTCGGCCTCCCAAAGTGCTGGGATTACAGGCGTGAGCCACCGTGCCCGGCCAATTTAATCCTTTCTTGATGGAATATATAAATTGAAGATGCAAGGCAGAGAGAGACTAAATCTTTACAGCAAAGTCACCTTAATAGCAGGAGTCTAGGAAGAAGGTATAAAAATTCCTGCTAGGGGCCGGGCACAGTGACTTATGCCTGTAATCCTAGCACTTTGGGAAGCCGAGGCGGGCGGATCACGAGGTCAGGAGATGGAGACCATCCTGGCTAACATGGTGAAACCTCAGCTCTACTAAAAATACAAAAAATTGGCCAGGTGTGGTGGCACGGGCCTGTAGTCCCAGCTACTCGGGAGGCTGAGGCAGGAGAATCGCTTGAACTCGGGAGGTGGAGGTTGCAGTGAGCCAAGATTGTGCCACTGCACTCCGGCCTGGGCAAAAGAGCGAGAATCCGTCTCAAAAATAATAATAATAATAATAATAATAATAAAAATAATAAATAAATAAAATAAAATAAAATAAAAATTCCTGCTAGGCTGGGCGCAGTGGCTCACACGTGTAAACCCAGCACTTTGGGAAGCCAAGGCAGTCAAGATCGCTTGAGTCCAGGAGTTCAAGACCAGCCTGAGCAACATATCAAAAAACCCCACATCTACCAAAAAAAAAAAAAAAAAAAACATTAGCCAGGCATGGTGGCATGTGCCTGAAGTCCCAGCTACTCAGGGGCTTAAGGAGGGAGGACCACTTACTTGAGCCTGGAAGGTAAAGGCTGTAGTGAGTCATAATCATGCCACTGTACTCCAGCCTAGATGAAAGAGTGAGACCCTGTCTCAAAAGTAAATAAATAAATAAATAAATAAAATTCCTGCTAATGAGATCCTCAAAGCAACTCTGATATCTTCTGTTCAAGACCCACTTGTTCAATCCATCATTCCATTCCCAGTATGAGTCCCATTAATTCCTTTTCCCCTCCTCAAGCTAGTAAGTGTCAACTGACTGCAACCAAAAAAATGCTACTATAACTTTTTATAGGAAGTAAATGAAAGGTGTGGAGGTTCTCATTTTAAGGTCAATTTATCATAATCATGCATTTTCCTTGCTTCCTCTTATCCAACTCAGAAAATAAATTCCTAAAGGGTAATTTTGCCTTCCAAAGTGTGACATGAGAACCCTCATGCCTAACATGCTTTTTCATATCCTCCTATTTCACAAGAAAGCATATTTACTTCAGTGTGTAAGTTTGTTCATTTTAGCAGCAGTTCCCTGTTAAGACGTTAGTATGAGGCATCAGCAGTTCTTTGCATCTCGTGATGCCATACCAATGCCAATAAAGCAGACTAAATGATTACTGATCAACAATACTTAATAGTATATAGAAAAAAAAAGATACTTAGTAGTTCATCAAAGAATGTCAAGCCCAGCCTGTCTCTGCTCTCCAAGTGCCTGGCTTCGCCTGTCACTTAAATCCTAGATCACCAATACGGACTTGTGATAGAAGATGTTTTTGCAGTTTCGCCCCAATCTTTAATTCTGGATCAAGTCATCACTAACATTACCCAGCCTTCATACTGCAGATTAGATAGTTAGGATTTCTAGCTCGTTATGATGCCTACCCTGTTCTACTCCTTCCCCTTCTGCTGTCCTTTTCCTGTTTATAGCTCAGCTATTATAACTAAGCTTCTGCTTAGACACTTTTGGAGGTCCCTAGTCTGATCCCTTCCTGGCTTTTCTCTTCCTAGGACTGAGCAGTCTACTTTAAATTCCCAATCCCAAGGACTGATAGCTAGAGTCCAGTACCCACAGACAGAATTATCTGGTGGCCACTCATACATATATAAGCATGTATGTTTGCATTCATTTCGTCATTTACACACACACACCCTCCTATTTCAGATTCCATATGCTTCTTCCCCTTGAATTCCCATTAATAGGTTGACTGAATTATTCTCTGGCTGTTTACCCCTGGCACGGCCTACCAAAAAGAACTTTTCCTCAGCGCCTGTAGTTAGTTAAGGTTAGATTGACCTTAACATGCAGCACTATACCTTAAATGTGGACTGATTCTAGTCTGTCCTGCATAATAGTTACCTCTGCCCTACTCTACAACTTGGCCATGTGCTCCCATATCACAAATACAACAAAGCTCTATCAAATTTTGAGATATGGAAAAGGTAAGCAAGCTCACAGAATTTTAAAACAGAAAATATACAAAAGAAAAAAGTTATTTTCTAAATGGCATAAGCTGGAAACTTGGCAGTATAGTACAATTAAAACAATAACATAATATAGGAAAGAATCCCACACATTTACACGCCCAAATTTATTTTTCAATCACCAGATAAATTTTAAAATAGGAGAAATGACAATGACTACATTACATTTTGTAAATATGTTCTAGATTATAGCATATTGAAAAGGCCATCTGATTCCCAAGAGTTCTAGAAGCAATTTCTTAATGCAAAACTTAAGGTATATCAGAGCAATGAAAGAGTATATATATCTAGTCACATAAATCAGTGCCTCTTCTGAACAATGCTGAATTCTTCTCTATGAAACTTATTCAATTTCTAATTCTCTTTAGTGCCAAAAAATGGGACTCCTATCACTTTCTCCAAAATCTACTTTTGTTATTAATATTACACCTTCATTAAAGTTGTTTCCTCTGCTTTCTCTACAACCTTGATTCCTAGCTAAAGATCAAGCCACAGATGGGATCACCGCCAAAAAAACTACCAAGTAGTCGAAAACTCAAGGACAAAAGTAAATATATTTACCTCAGGCCCCTTATAAGCCAACAGAACTGCAGTAAGAACAAGTGCAGTAGATAATAAAGAATTCTAAATACTGTGGCTAAGGTGGGAAGCCAATGACATCTCAAAAATAGATGCTGTTCGCGTATGTTTATTGCAGCACTATTCACAATAGCAAAGACTTGGAACCAACCCAAATGTCCACTGATGATAGACTGGATAAAGAAAATGTGGCACATATACACCATGGAATACTATGCAGCCATAAAAAAGAATGAGTTCATGTGCTTTGCAGGGACATGGATGAAGCTGGAAAACATCACTCTCAGCAAACTAACACAGGAACAGAAAACCAAACACCACATGTTCTCATTCATAAGTGGGAGTTGAACAATGAGAACACATGGACACAGAGAGGGGAACATCACACATTGGGAGCTATCGGGGGTTGGGGGGCAAGGGGAGGGAGAGCATTAGGACAAATCCCTAATGCATGAGGGGTTTAAAACCTAGATGATGGGTTAATAGGTGCAGCAAACCACCATGGCACATGTATACCTATGTAACAAACCTGCATGTTGTGCACACATATCCCAGAACTTAAAGTTTAATAAAAAAAAAAAAAGGTTACATTATTTAATATAGGCTAAACTAGTATATGAACTCTTTGAAAGAAGTAATAGCATCTCATCATCTTAATAATTTTAGGCGGGCAAGGTGGCTCACACCTGTAATCTCAGCACTTTGGGAGGCCAAGGCGGGTGGATCATGATGTTAGGAGATCGAGACCATCCTGATTAACACGGTGAAACCCCGTCTCTATTAAAATACAAAAACTTAGCCTGGCATGGTGGCATGCGCCTGTAGTCCCAGCTACTTGGGAGGCTGAGGCAGGAGAATCGTTTGAACCCAGGAGGCGGAGGCTGCAGTGAGCGGAGATAGCATCACTGCACTCCAGCCTGGGCAACAGAGGGAGACTCCAACTCAAAAAAGAAAAATAGTTTCAGCACACAAAGTAGACACTGAATAAACACACTGAATGAAAAAGTAAATCAAGAGTTGAGATGGTTAGTAAAGTGTCAAATGTACTCAGCTTATACTGCAATACAATCACTGCAGAATGTCAATTACTAGGGAGGGCCTTACCCTAAGGAGACAAAGTGTAATGTAAGTGCTGAGAAACTCACTTTTTCCAAAAACTACTCCCTATTCATTAATAAACACAATGCAAAATGCATCTCACATTGGAGATTAATTTCATGTACTCTTTCCCTCTTGCCAGGCAATTATTTACCTCTATTCTAATTTTATATTCCTATGACCCTTTCCTCACAGGATGCTTAATATTTATCTTTTAAAAGTCCATTTTATTACTTGTTTATTTGAATAGGAATTCTCTGTATTTCGGGCATCCGGGAATGAGTTACTGGTCAACATGTTTATCTTCTATTTTCTTCGTTTGTTTTTATCATATTTTTTCCATCAACATGAACATACAAAAATCTTCAAAACTGCTGTTCACAGACATGCTTTCCTTTGTAACAGAAGTCACAGTGGGTTGAACTCTCATGAAGAAAACAGATTATCTGATGCCAGAGCAGTCTTTACTAATTTAATTACTTTACCATCTTTAAAAATTTTAAATAAAAATACAATTTGTATTGATCCTTTAAATGATAACAGATGATGTAATATAAAAAATCTAACTTAAAGCCTGTGCACAATACTTACTTCTGCTACTTAGAAGTATGATATATATCTATATCTCAACAACATGCCACACATGCTATATAGTAAAATCACTTCTAAACTTTAACAAAACTCAAAAAAGCACACAGATGTGAACGTAAGCCATGCCCGATGTTAAATAACAAAACCAAAGTAACAATTAGATACTGCAATGCAACCAGTTTTCTTCCATTAAAATAGTGCTTGCCAAACAAAATCTTCATTGGACTGGAATGATGCTTTGCCAGATGACATCAGGATAGGCAAAGCCACTATTAAACCCTGTGCTAAAGTGGGTGTCAATAAGCAGGGTAGGAAGAAGAAAGGCTGGAATATGAGGAGACTTTTAAACATCTATCAACATTGGCAAGCCACAGTCAAAAAGTAGTTCATTTTTGATGAAAGTTTTAGTCAGGCTGAGAAAATTGAAAGTGCAAGAAAATCCACAGAGAAAGAAAAATCAGCCTTCTAAGAAAGACACAATACTCTTTTCCAAGCTATGAATAGAGATGACAAGTACTATTACCTCAGAAAAGCAATGCAGTACAACTTTTCCCTGCCCTGCTCCAACCACACAAATACCTATCAGTGGTAGTAGTGGCCTTAATGCATTTTCAGCAGCTGCCATGTCTTGACAGGCTTCCTCACATCCTCCTGAAAGTAAAAACACCTATGCCAACCCATGTGGTGGTTATGCAACCTAAGACAAGCTGGGAATCACTGAACTTATTTACTCTGGTGACTCAGATATAAATCTAGGTCTCTGCGGAAAAAGAGGTGGAGAACATAAAAGAATGTATGACACCATTTTTCATTAATATTTATTGTATAACTGAAGCAAACTCAAAAGATTTTCTGCTCTCTATAGGTCTGACAAAGAAATTAGCTTTCAGAAATGCTTCAGGTTTGACCAGGTACAATGTACCATCTGCTATACTGAATGACCTGAGGCAAAAACAACACCCCTTTATACAGAACTTTTATTTTCTCTGTCTTTTTCTTGCTTTCCTCTCATCATGTTGCCATTCACCAACATCTTACTTTCCCTTCTTCTTCCAGCTTATTCTTTAAAGCCTGCCACTGACAGCTACCACTCAGCAATGCTGAACTCCACAACATCAAGAAATTTTTTTCGATGCTATTCCACTCAGAAATAATTTAAACATTGCAACTTCAAAAAATAAAACAGCAAAATAAATACTCATCTTGACCAAAAAAAAAAAAATTTCTGGATTTAGCAAATTAAGTGAAATATATAAATTACATCTGTCATTAATGTAGCAGATCAAACTTAAAAAGCATACATGGTAGATTGGTGCAGCCATTATGGAAAATAGTATGGAGGGTCCTAAAGAAATTAAAACTAGGATTACCTGTAACCCAACAACCTTTCTTCTGGGTGTATACACAAAGGAAATGAAATCACCACCTCTAATAGATGCATTCCTCATGTTCACTGCAGCATTATTCATTATGGCCAAAGTATGGAAACAACCTTGGTATCCCTCAACTATCAAATGGATTAAGAAACTATGGTGTATAATAAAAAATGGAATATTATTCAGCCTTAAAAAAAAAAGAAGGGGATCTTGTCATTTGCCACAACATGAGTTGACCCGAAGGATATTACACTATGTGAAATAAGCCAGACACCAAAAGAAAAATATTGCATGATCTCACTTATTATCTGGTATCAAAAAAAAAAAAGGTCAAATATTCACAGAGACAGAGAATAAAACTAGTTATGAGGGTCACGGTTGCGCAGAGGAAATGGGAGAGGTGTCTCAAAAGATACAAAATAGTATATATGCAGGATGAACAAATCTAAAGATCTCATTAACTGACAATGTATTGTATTCAGGATTTTTGCTAAATGAGCAGGTCATAGCTGCTTTTGACACAGGGGAAAAATGGGTAATTATGTGAGATGATAGATATGTTCATTTGTTTCACCATTGTAAACATTTTACTACTTATGTTATCTCATAACATCATGTGAATATCTTAAATATACACAATAAAATGTATTTTTTTAAAAAAAGAATACATGCTAGGGAAGTCATACTTAGTACAATTTTTATGATGACCTAGTTGTAAAATGCTTCAGGAGCAAGAGTAAGATTCTCATATTATAAGTATTTTTTTTCCTAAGTATCTTACATTATCCCTAATCCTTTTCTTCTTTACTTAAATATTATATTTGGGCTAATATTTTTCCCCAAGAAACCTGTTCTGATTCACTGAGAGTGAAATCTATCAATTTTATATGTCCTATAATTTTGATATAAATAAATTTCACAATTCCCACCAAAGAAATTTGATCAATCCCCCTGATATGCAGATCAAAGATCATATCTTAGGGTTCTCTTAATCAGTTCAATCGAAAATAATCTTTCTACTCATTAAGTGTCCATAGCACTTCTGCACCTCTCAGACTCATCAAATACCATTCAATTATGTATCTACCTATCTTATCTCCACTATGTTATAAAGTTATTGAGGGCAGAACTACCCATGTGTAAAGCGTCCATGCATAGTACCCGTGATACCCAGCACAATCACAATAAAATATGTTATCATCTTTAGGAAAAAAAGCTTACAGAATTATTATTATATAGCATAACATCACTTGAGAGTCTATTTACATAGGATCATTATTTTGGGAAATAAGAACTAGGTTCTCAGGTAGCAAGTTTAATCCCTGATACTTGATCTAATTTAGTCCCTACTCATTACACAAATAAATCAAGCTAAATAAAATTATTAAGCAATCAATACACAATGATTGTTCTACAAATAACTGATATAGAGTTTATTTTTATTTCATACTTATTTACTCAACTATGGCATTTATCATCTAAATCACCTAATACTGTGTTTTAATGGGCAATGCCATGGGGAAAGAACTTGGACTGTAGGGTCAAAGAGACACAAAAAGACTCCAGGCTTTAATCAAAGAAATCTGACTATAAATTTATCTATAAATTTATAGGGATTTCTAGGGTGAACAGAAAAAAGAAACATAATAAAACACATATTATCATTCTTTCATTTTTAGTAAACAGTCTTAGAGTTCCTCAGAGTAACAGTGAACATTTATTTTCTTAATTTTCTGACATGTTTACTGTCTATTTACATTTATTCACTCAACAAATGTTTACTGAAAGTCAATCATATTCCTACATTATGTGTCTAGAGAGAAAATAAAATTTGCTGAAATATATTATACAATGTCTGGTAATGTTTTATAGCTGCTTATTTAGCTGCACTATTAATTTTTCCAAACTCTCTCTAGAATCAGCACAGTGACAGCAGATACTTAATAAACACTCTTTGGCTAACTGCTCAATATTTCTTGCTTTATTTGTTACATGTTAAGAAAGCTCCCAGTGGCCAGGCACAGTGGCTCGCTCCTGTAATTTTGGCACTGTGGGAGGCTGAGGCAGGTGGATCACTTGAGCTCAGGAGTTGAAGACCAGCCTGGCCAATATGGCAAAACTCCGTCTTTGCAAAAAATACAAAAATTAGCCAGGCAGGGTGGCATGCCTGTAGTCTTAGCTATTCAGGAGGCTGTGGCAGGAAAATCGCTTGAACCCAGGAGGCAGAGGTTGCAGTGAGCTGAGATTGTGCCACTGCACTCCAGCCTGGGCGACAGAACAAAACACTGTCTCAAAAAAAAAAAAACAAAAAGGGAGCGGGAGCTCCCAGTAAGCGAATATGGTAGTGACTAAATAAAGAAGAACAGTAAAGAGGAATTAAGAAGAATGCCATGTAATTAAAATTTTTACATGACTATATCTAGGGCTGTGAATGAATTACCCTGTGGAAACAATCAGCCATTTGTCTAATACCTGTTGCTCTTCTTACAGGAAATGCAGGGAAGAAACATACCCTGGGCCTGCTGCCTACGGACATAAGGCACAGATCTGAATTTGTATACACAAACATCTTCATCCTCTGAAGAGGACAAAAATACCAACATTCTTGTATTTTCCAACATTTTTCAAAATAAGGTCACTATGCTTTTAGTAATAAAATATAAATCAGTTATTGTACTATAGTTATAAGATATTACTAATGGGGAAAGAAAGATAGGTGAAGAGTACGTGGAGCTCTATACTATTTTTGCAACTTCCCAAGTTTATAATTATTTCAAAATTAAAAATTAAAAAAATCAATAAGGTAATGCATATTTAATAAGTGTTGGAGAAATTAAAACAGGTATATTAAATTGTTTTTCTAAACTCAAACACTTAACATGTACTAAGTAACGAATATTTTGAGAAAATACTTGTGGAAATTCTATTTAAAGTGTTGAATCCTAGGCAGGATAATTAATCACCTCCTGAGTTATTCAACTTATAAAGTGAAATTTATGTGTGTGGATGTTTTACTCAGAGCAAGGCAATAAAACTACAAGTTAATGTGCAGATAAACAAATCAGTTGTCCTTTGAAAAAAAAATAGCACATAACAAAATAATTTTGGCATAATTTTTTCATAGACCAAATAACAGCTATGTATCAAATTCCTACTTTCCTCAGGCTAATATTAAATAAGTTGGCCTCCTTTAAGTCTATATTGGCTGGAGAACAGAAGGAAACATGCTAGGAAGAAACATCATACAGGAAGAGGAAGCTGGGCCTGGTATTAATTGGCTGAGCAGCTGGTTCATCAAGTGTTGACAACATACCAATTACAACATGTCAAAAATCACCCTGTCACATGATCTCCACTCGTAACACAGGTACCAAAGGCTTAAGAAACTGAAGAAAGCTGAAAGAATCCATGTCAGAACTCAATGATCGCTATTATTTCAAGGACCCAGAGTGGAAAGAAGAGCCAATGCATGAAGAACCAGACGCCAGACAGGCTAGTGGTCCTACCCAAAGACACAGCTCTCTACTGGCAAGGGAAGAACAAGTGTCTTTTAATTTCTGGGCCTCTGAAGTGCCATTATCAATAGGCACTAATCTTTTATAGGTAGTAGTAATGAATACTTTAAAGGGATTAGGCCATTCACAAAAGAATCAAACAACTGTAATTATTTTTTAAAATCCTCACTCATTTATAGTCCTCTAAACTCCCAAATACAATACTTTAAATCCACTGGGGCTTCACATGTACCTAGTTGATACAAAGTTCCCAATCTAAGCTTGCAACCTCATCAAAATACATTATTATAGTACCACCTATGTCAGTTGTCTTTACTAAGTAGGGCTTCAGTTTTTTTAAGGCTTACAAGTATCTGCTATTGGATCAGCATAATGATAAAAAGGGTTGTCTCCATACACCTCCAAGCCTTGAGCTTGCTTAATTACTGCAGCACTTGATAACCATGGTGTTCTTTTGTGAAATATCACAAAACAATGACATATTATTAAGCTAAATCATATATTATACACAAATATACTAATACATGAATAGAAGCAGGTGACAATGGTTTTCTTAAAAAAAAAAAAAAACCTTTATGGAAGAAACCACAGGCCTAAGAAAATCATTAATAATTTTCCTGGAGTTGAGAAAACTAATGTGCTTATTTAATAGTGAGACCACTTTATAGAGATATAAAACCAAGGCCCAACTCAGTCATAAGCATTAAAACAGCAACAAAACCCCAAACTGAAAACAAAATCTCAGCACTTTAGTGAAATTACAGTTTAGTTGGTCAAAATATATATAGTGCCTGCATTAAGTGGGCTAACAGATACAAAGTATTTCATATACCAAAAAAAAAAAAAAAAACAAAACTACAAGGCATATCATAATGAGACTTCTCACAATGGACTATAACGCTATGGAAGATCAATAATCCAATATTTTATCATCTATTATACACAATCTATTGGACACAGTAATTTTTGATTAAACAAAAATGAGGGGTAAGTGACTCATATCACTAACAGACATTGCTTTAATGTTTTGCCTCAAGTCTTACATCTTCTGCAGATACAGTACTTAATATATCTCAATGTCCCTTCTCTGAAGGTTCAAAGACGTGAAGGTAATGGGGTCAGACAGGACATGAAAGCCTGCAACAAGAACTGGGGAATTTGGAGTTAATGGTCACAGTTTTATGACCCTAATGATACCTAGATGTCTCAGGGATCCCTGAAAGGTCCGTGGTAAGGCCTGATACTTTTAGACTCAAAAATCCCAAAGCCCTGCACCACTGCAGTCAAGTAAATAAATCAACTAGTACTTCCTTGTTCAACCAAATGAAACACATGAAGAAATATCATTAACTTATTTCTGGTGCTGGGCTTTTCACATTCTGCAGGACTCATGTTTCACAGTTTATAGAACTGATATTCTAGATCTATTAGTGTTACAGTTATTAAAGATTTGGGGGCCAAGTAATAAATTAACCTGAAAAAATTCCAACCAAAGAAAGAAAAACAGAAGTGTGAATGAGCCAAAACATTCTGCAATGAACTTTATTTATTTAACTTGGAGATAAATTATTTCCACATTTCTTTGCTACTGTATTTCTTTATTATTACATTTATTTATGGTGAAAGAATGCATCTCTAAGTATTTGGCATTTCTTGCGCATAAGATTAGTGGAAAGATAAGGCTGTCAGGAAACGTTAAGGGATTTTGGGTTCATTTAACCCATGGGTTTCAGGGAAGCAGTGGAAAAGGCAGAGGCTGGTACAGGAATGTGCACTCAATCATTTACCAAGTATTTACTGAGCACCTACTGTGTATAGCTCATTGCACCAGCACTAAATGCACAGTGGTCAGCAAAACAGATTCCATGTCCACATGAACTAGCAGTTGCTAAGCAATGTGGTTGGCATCTCCTACCCAGTTTTCAATGATTAATCCTATGTTTAAGCAGTTCTATAATTCAACAAACATTAATTCAATGAAATAAAAAATCAGAAGTTTTTTTTTAAAAAATTCCAGTTCCTCCCATCCAAGACCTCAGCCTAGGGTGGAGAGACAAATAAACCAGCTATTAAGTTTCATAATAGGAGTACAACCAAGAGTGCTAAGGGAACATCCAGGAGGGACAACCTAAGTACTATTCCAGGTAGAAAGAAAGGCTCAGAGGCAGGAGAGCTTGGCATACTTCAAAAGCTTCAAGTAGGAGACAGGAATGCATCTCTGCCATGCAGAGGATGCAATCTAGGCTCAAACACACTGAGCTCAGAAGTCAAAGTCCTAACACTGGCCTACCCAAGACTAATGACACCTCCATCACCTTGACCTCATGGTTCACCTCCTTCCAGCCAACCCCTTACTGTTCTGTGAATGTGCCAAGCACCCTGCTTCAGAGCCTCAGCACTTGCTCTTCTCTCAGTCCTACAATTCTCACTCCCTTGGCTGCCTCAAATCTCTTCTAATGGACCTTTACAGAGAGGCCTTCTGATTCAGACCTCTATAAATGGCAAACCCACCCATACTTTAGCACCCCAATGATTGTATGATGTCACTGACAGTTATAATAATATAGTATATAATGTACTATGTATTATAATAATTGACAATTATTGACAGTACAATTGACAATAGTAATACTTGTTATCTACTCCCCTCACCACTAGAATTTAAGCTCCCTGATATAGCGCTATCACCCAGCACTGTGCCTAACAGACAGCAGACACTCAAGTCTTTTTTTAAAAAATGAACAAATGAATGGCTGTCAGAGATGTGACTGGAGAAGCTGGAGCCAGGTTACAAAGAGTTTTTTATAGACTGCAACCCCATGTTTTAGCGCCTCTTTGATAATGACTTAAGATCTATTCAAGAATTTTAAGCAGAAAAAAAAAGGTATACTGGAAAGACCACAATTTCACATTTTAAAAAATTAAAACAAAAAACAATTCATTTTGGAAAGAGTGTGAGGGTAATCTATGAGAAGACGTGAGACTGCAGTTAAGTAGAATATTTAAAAGACCTCTCTAATACTTCAGCAGGGAAATACAGGCCCCAAAATTGTCTTCTGGCAGGTGGAGGTTGAAAATGATAAACATTTAGAAGATAAAAACAACTGGACCTGATGCTTAATTAAATGTGAGACGTGAGGAAGACTGAGGAGTGGATGATGACTGCCAGTCTCAATCTAGTGACAGAACAGGTGCTAACAGCATTTACTCAAGCTGAGGAGATAGGAGAAGAAAATACATTTTGGAAGAACGATTATGAGTTACATTTGGGCCATGCTGAGGTTGACATGCCTGTGTAAATATCTCAGCAGATATGTCTAAACCAGCAGTTGGACATATCCCAGCAAAAAATCAGTGGTTCAGATGTCATTAATACTTGTCACACAAACAAAACTTGATGAACTTCATGGCAGCAATAAAAATCAAATACACTTAACTAGGAATAAACATTACAGTATTAGATGAGAATTAGCCTAAATGTTAAAAAAGGAAGGCTATAATCTTATCTATATTAACGCTTCTTACAAGATCTGGGGATGAGTTCAAAGATAATATGATCGAATTATGTCAGTCTATGAATGTTAGAAATAAGCAAACTACCAAAAAATACCTCAATAGTATAGTAAATGTTTGTTTTTTTGGTTTTTACCCTAGTTTTACTTCCCATTAACCTTCCTAATTTCAACTGAGATTGGGTAGGGGCAATAAATGTAGGCTTTAGAGGCCTGTTATTTGAAAATAATATTCCTGATATGTTTGCTATTTGCATTTTCTCTCATCTCTGGATAACTGCACATTCTATTAATGCTACACAGCCACTTCCCCTAACTACTCAACCTCCAGATTTCTCAATGAAGACAATGCTTCCTCCTGGAAGTCCTTCCAAACTTTGAAGTCTGAGTTCCATGCCCACCCCACCTCCACACCATATGTACCTACCTACAGCATCCACACCTCACGTATGTGATACCCTATTCAACAGTCTCTTCCACTCAACTGTAAGCTCTATCATGATAAGGACCTTGAATACTACATGCACAAGACATTCGTGTATGTATACGAACAAATGTATGAATCAATGACTGAACAAATTATCTATTTTCCGTGAGAACTGTTGAGATGTTTAAACAAACATCTTTCATTATTACGGGGTACTCAAACTGTGAATATAGCTATTCTTATTTACAGTCTAACATGACTATGTATTTTACAAGGTACTCTTCTTATTTTAAAAAAAAGAAGGGGTCTCACTATGTTGCCCAGGCTGGTCTCGAATTTCTGAGCTCAAGCAATCCACCCACCTTGGCCTCCCAAAGTGCTGGGATTACAGATATGAGCCACTGCAACTGGCAGGTTACTCTTCTAAGGGTTTTATTTCATATCATCTTCTGAATGAATGATATCTTATTCCAACGGGGCAACCCAGTATTCTACTACTGAAAATTAAATGTTGATATGAGCTATGTGTAATTTAATCCTTTGTCCACACTAAAACTACGTGAAATTTCAAAGACAGATTTTGGCCAGGCACAGTAATCCCAGCACTTTTGGGAGGCCGAGGCGGGCGGATCACAAGGTCAGGAATTCGAGACCAGCCTGGCTAACATGGTGAAACCCTGTCTCTACTAAAAATGCAAAAATTAGCCGGGCGTGGTGGCGGATGCCTGTAATTCCAGCTACTCGGGTGGCTGAGGCAGGAGAATCGCTTGAACCCGAGAGGTGGAGGCTGCAGTGAGCTGAGATCATGCCACTGCACTCCAGCCTGGGTGACAAAAGCAAGACTCTGTCTCAAAAAAAAAAAAAAAAGATTTTGATACTGTGGTTTCAGAAAGAGTAGTAACTAACTTGACAGTCCTCAAGATTTTAAAATAAAGAACAATTCAATGAGTTTACAGAACTTGGTGAAATCCCATCAAAGCAAATTGTTGGCATACAGGGAGCCACAAAGAATCTTTTTTTCCCTTTAAGTCCAAGTAAAATTGAAAAAAAAAATTCTTTATGATAAATTTTTTAATTCTAATTTTCTAAACAAAGCTTTATCTACCTGTTTAAAATGGTTCATTTTTTAAATTGCTAACAGCTAAGCATTAGAATAATTCCCTAATGATTATTCCTTTACAAAAAGTAATTTTAACAACATGAAAGATGAGTGCACAGTAAAAACTCAACAAACAGCCTTTAAAGGCTGCAGCCTTCATAGTGAGATCATAACTGATGCCCAAGCTAAAGAAAATTATTTTTTTATAAATATCTATCATAAACTTTCTATACTGAGTCTAAACACTACTGAAAATAAGAGTAAAAAAATTTAAAGGAGATCACTACACATATAATAAATGGCTAAAGTTTTAATAACTGACAATACCAAGTGCTGATAAAGATGTAAAGCAACTGAAACTCTCAGATATTGCTGTAGGAATGTAAAATGATATCACCATTTAGGAAAACAATTCAGTAGTTCAATAAAAAGGTTACTGATATTAATAAATATACACTTATCCTAGGACTCAAAAATCCCACTCCTAGGTATTAACTCAAGAAAACTGAACATTTTTGTCCCTCACATAGACCTGTATGCAAATGTTTATAGCAGCTTTATTCATATTTGATCAAAACTAGAAACAACTCAAATGTCCATCAGTTTATGAATGGATGAACAAATTGTGTTACCCTGGTGTAAAACAATGTTACTCAACAAAAAAAGGAACTGTGCTGGAGCTGGCTGGTACCAGCTCATGGGAGCCCATTGTTAAATTTTCAGGAATTCTGTAAGCTGGTAGCTTAATTTAGGCCATAGTGACAGTGTTTACACTACAATGATTAGCGAATGCTATAAATCAGAGATTCTTTTTTTTTTTCTGAAGAGTATGTTGTTAAGACATTTCCCAGCACATCACTGAACAAAATACTGACACATGTAACAACTTAATAAATATCAAGCATTACGCTAAGTGCAAGGGAACACGAAAGGCTACATAATGTATAATTCCATTTATATATGCCAGACGAGATAAAACTTTAAGAGCATCAATTAAATTAACGGTTTTCAGGGGCTGGGAGTGTAGAGGTAGAGGACTGACTCATGACAGGGCATGAGTGAACTTTTTAGAGTAACGGAAACGTCCTTTTCTATGTCTTGACTGTGGTGGAGACTATCCAATTATAGACATTTGTTAAACTTTTACTTTCACTACATGTAAATTATGCTTCAATAAACATTACTCTAAAAAATTAAAGTAGGAGCCATTTCTTTTTTTTTTTTTTTTGAGATGGAGTCTCACTCTGTCACCCAGGTTGGAGTGCGGTGGCGCCATCTCAGCTCACTGCAACCTCCACCTCCCCAGTTCAAGCGATTCTCCTGCCTCAGCCTCCCGAGCATCTGGGACTACAGGTGCACACCACCAGGCCAAGCTAATTTTTGTATTTTTAGTAGACACGGGGATTCACCATATTGGCCAGGCTGGTCTTGAACTCCTGACCTCAGGTGATTCATCTGCCTCGGCCTCCCAAAGTGCTGGGATTACAGGTGTGAGCCACCATGCCCGGTCGCCATTTATTTCTTAATCATTTCATGGATGATAAATACACCACACACACCAAGGGGGAACTGGATTTATCAGTGTAAATATCAGGAAGGCAGATTTTGACTCGACATAAATAGAAATATAGATTTAAAATGTAAAAACAAACAAACAAAAAAACAAAAAAAAAAAAACGGCCTGGCACGGTGGCTCACGCCTGTAATACCAGCATTTTGGGAGACAGAGGCAGGCAGACCACTTGAGCTCAGGAGTTCAAGACTAGCTTGGCCAACAGGGTAAAACCCCGTCTCCACTAAAAATACAAAAATTAGCCAGGCGTGGTGGCGAGGGTCTATAGTCCCAGCTACTTGGGTGGCTGAGGCACGAGAATCTCTCGAAACCCGGGAGGCAGAAGTTGCAGTGAGCCCAGATGATGCCACTGCACTCCAGCCTGGGCAACACAGCAAGACTCCATCTCAAAAGAAAAAAAAAAAAAGGTCAAGAAAAAAAAAAGAAGAGGGGAAATTCGTAATCACAGGAAATACTAAAATCAGAGGTGGATGATCCTGCCAAAGATGCTGTAGAAATGACCCTAGTTCGGGTGTGATTTCAGACTAGCATCATTAACAGAGGTTAGTATCATTAAGATCTCTTCATACTGGGGGTCCAGGGCTCTAAAATCTTATGATATTGTATGCTATGATAATCTCAGATATACTTTGCAATTCTAACTAAAACATCAATTACTTATTTTAACATCAATCAAATGGTATTACCGATCAAAGTCTAGTATACCCTGTTTATGAATGCTGGCTCTAACTTCAGACAGTCTGGGTTCACATGTTGGCCCACCAGTGTTTGTATGACTTTAAAACAACTTGTTCTATTTCCCCATCTGTAAAATGGGATTAATATTTTCCTTCGATTTAAATGAGAATGTGTTAGAAACAACGTCTATGTGCTGAACTCTTAATCACAAACATTTCTTGGGCATAATCAGAAATGAAGGACATAAATCATCAAATGTAATTTAAAAATTTTAGCTTTCCAAATATGGAATATGTATTCTTTAATTTTATATCTAGAAGTTCATAATCTTTTACAGACCCATATCCTTTTGAGAATGTGATCACCCAACAGAGTCTTTATCTAGGAAAAAAGCAAATATATGCTATATTCTGCATATGATTTCTGGGAAGCCAAGGACCCTCAGAAGTATATGCATGAAATTAAGAAAGAAGCAGGGCATGGTGGCTCACATCTGTAATCCCAGCACTTAGAGAGGCTAAGGCAGGAGGATCACTTGAGGCCAGGAGTTCAAGATCAGCCTGAGCAACACAGGGAGACCCTCATCTCTACAAAAAATAGAAAAATTAGACAGGCATGGTGGCATGCACATGTAGTCCTAACTTCTTGGGAGGCTGTGGGAGAAGGATCACTCGGGCCCAGAAGTTCAAGGCTGCAGTGAACCGTGATCGTGCCACTACACCCCAGCCTGGGCAACAGGGCAAGACCCTGTCTCTAAAAAAAGAAATAAATAAATAAATTAAGAACAACTGATGTAAACTTTTAAAATTGCAAAGTTGAGCAGTGGAATTTAAGAATCTCTTCAAAGCAGAGAATCCAACTAATATTGAAATATACTGTCATTTACTTTTTCAAAAACAGATTATGCAAGAGTAGAACATTGTATTTTCTAACTTATCCCTCCTTTTTGGAGGTGATACAAATTTTTTGAAACATTTTTTTTTTTCTTTACAAAAATTGTTTTCTCTTTGTTGCCCAGGCTGGTCTCTAACTCCTGGCCTCAAGTGATCCCCCAGCCTTGGCCTCCCAAAGTGCTGGAATGACAGGCATGACCCACTGTGACCCACCAAAAGCATACATATATTTCAGATGAATCCATTTTAACTCATGGAAAGAAACTAGCAGTAGAAACCTCTTTCTAGCAGCTTGAGATAGAATGGTTCAAAGTATTAACATACTTTACTATTGCTCAAATATCATAGGAAGAGTTCTCAATTCTAATGCAATATATATTTTTAAACATAAAAACATACCAACCTAATTCCTATACTTAAGAGTCTCATGATAAAGTTTTATTTTTTTTAAAGTCGGATTTTTTTACTAGACTTATGCACTAATACAACATGTTTTTCTATAAATTAGCACATTTTTAGTTCTGTTTTATGTTATGTTTGTTACGTCGCCTGATAGTCGAAACCAGTTGTTCTCAACCTGCTACCAAATACCAACCTGGAAATATGCCACTATTTAAAAAGCCCGAAGAATAGGGTTTTGTTTTTCCTTTTTAATTGTTTGGTGTTCAAACTACATAGTAAACCAGTTGGCAACCATTACTGAACAAAAATAGTTTTTCGTATGCATGAGCACCATTTTCCAACAGAAAACACTTAACCATTTTTAAGGTACTGGAAGTCCATGCAAGGGTTCACATATGCAGTAAATATCCTTTCAATCTGGTTGTATCACATTGTTTCTGTGAAAGGAAGACCTGATATTGCAGATCTCACAATTAAATGGTAAAAATCAATGAAAAACTGCACCTGAGGCTCAAACACTAGCCAGATGGCCTTTGGTTGGAAAGGTCTCATCTGCTTCTTAAATCCCGCCGTAACTGTGAATGTTTGCGATGCCACCACATCCCCAGTACAAGAGAACTGGAGCATCTCTGGCTCCTTCCATAATCGAAGGGCTTCCAGCGTAGGGCGTAGGGGGAGAGGCCCGAAGCCCTGGAGACAGCGCCCGAGGGATGGAGGCCGCGCTCGGCTGCGCTCAGGTCCGGGTGGCTCCGGGAGCTGAGACCCCGCAGGATGCAGCGGGGGGGGGCCAGGGCCTGATCCCCTACCCCTGCGAGCCAGGGCCGCCTACGCCCCCACTGCTTCCCACAGGTAACGTCCAGCCCTCTCCTCCCCTATCCCCCGAAATATCCCGGTTCCGCTCCGCTCCGCTCGCCGCCCGTGACCCCGACCCCGACCCGTCCGCGACGGCGCCCTCCCCAGGAGGCAGCGGAGGACTAGGGCCAGGCCGCCCACCCTGGCGGCGGCGGCGGCTCCCGGCCAAGGCGGACCCTGGGGAGGACAGCAGCTGGGCCGCGGCCTGTCCCTAGGGGGAGCGGGCGCAGGGCCGCGAGTGGGCAGCGCCTCCGCCCCGCACGAACAAAGCGGCCAGGCGCGCCGGGCCGAGGCAGCACCGCCTCTCCGGGAGCGCGGGGGGCGGGGAGGATGGCGGGGGTACTCACCTGAGGGCCGGCGGAGGGCGCGGGCGGGACAGGCCCAGGAGACGGGACCGCGGCGGGCCGGGGCTCCGCGCCGAGGGCGCACGGGCTACGGGGAAGGGGCGACCGGCGCGACGTCCGCGGCGGGGCCCGGGAGCCCCGCGCCGCGGGCCGGGGGCCGGGGCCCGAGCTCGATTCTGCGGCCGCGAGGTATGGGAACCGGTCCGCCGGGCCAGGCAGCGGTGCTAGGCAGCAGGGGCAGCGACGCCGCCGCCTTTCCCTTCTCCTGCCCCCGTCCCTGCTCCGCCGCGTCCTCGTCCTCGCTGGGTCCCCGCCGCCGCCGCCTCAGCCTCGGCGCTCCTCGGGTTTCTTCTCTCCATCAAGGCCGGGCCGACCCGCAGGGACCATCCCGGAAAGTGAGGGGTTGTTGCCGTTTCCCGCAGCTGTTGGTGGCCATCTTTAATCCTCCTCCTCCTCCTGCTTTCTCCACCTCCCGCTGGCTGTCTGACTGACTGACTGGATCCTCCTCTTTCCCCTCCTGCTCCTCCTACTGAGCCGGCCGCAGAAATTGCAGCCGCTCAGCTTCTACCCCCTCCTGCCTTTCCTTCCTCTTTCCTTACTTCCTTCCCTTCCCTCGGCTTCCCGCTCTTGCCTCACTCTCAGCGGCTGCCTTCGCCCCTGTCTGCAGACAGCGCCGCTGGATGCTCCCAGCTGGACTTCAACCCCACTCCTCTCAGTCCCTCTCCCCACTGCCTTCCAGACGCGCCTCTTCCCCGCCCCGCGCCCCTCTCTCCTCTCCCACCCCTGCCCCTCTCCGCGGCGCTCACCCTCCTCAGTCCCAGTTTCTGAAAGGACTCAGCTGAGAAAGGACAACTGGGTTCCGCTTTCCTTAACCCTACACCCTTTAGCTGGATGCTGTCAGAGGCGATGGAGAAACGCAAAGGTGCGTTAATTTTACTCTAGCCAGAGTATAAAAGAACTGCCCACGCCAGCTATTGTACTACGCAGCTTCGAAACTCCTGCACGCTCTCCTGTGTGGCTCCCGTCCGTGATGGGACTGTAGTTGAGGAGCTCGGTCTCAAATGGTGCCTTCCGTCAGTGACCTTGAGTCGGTTGCCTAAGATTTTAGATTTTCCTTTTCCTTCCTGGGAGGGGCATTATTTATACCTTTGCAGTCCCACAAACAGTGTTTAGACCAAATAAGTATCCTTTAGTAAACCTAGAACTGCCAAGTGATCATCATTTTGCCCGTTTGTTCCTACTCAACCCAGCAGACAATTTGGGTCACGCTTCAGTTCTGGCAGTAAAGACAAACTGAGTCAGCAGTTAGGAGTGGACTCCCTTAAACAACAGAGTTAGAGTGGGGAAGTGGTCATAACATCGCTGTAATCACAAACTTGTTTTTCCTAACACTGCAATCTACAGAAGTTTCAGGATTTCCTCTAATAAACATAAGGCAAGTTGGATTTGCTGTTTTCTTCTTTTTGACGATTTTGCCTTTAGAGTTGGACCCATTTGTAATGATTTACTCGTCAATTACTCCAAGATAACAAAGTTGGAGGTAACATTGCTAACAAACACAGGTGATATATATGAGCACTTTGTGGGGGGGGGGTGTCACAGTTTTTCTTCTGTGGGGCACTGGCTATTAAAAAAAAAAAACACCTTGCCCTTTCAAAATAAGACTAGTGTGTTCAAAGGTTAGTCCCTTAAACAGACCAAATGTGGGCAGAAATGTTTTTAAATGTAGTTTTAGATTCTACTTCAAAATGAGTAATGTTTTGAAAGTTCAAATATAAGATTTTGTAATTATAACAATTTAAGAGTTTCAAATCTCTTTGAAAAGAATATGCCAAAACAAACCTAAAAATATATTTTAGTAAAAATACCGGTATCCTTTGGTGGGGGGCGGAGCAGAATTCTAATATTTAATCCTCACGAAGTAACCTTAATTAACTGTTAGGTTCAAGATTTCAGTTGCCATCTTTCAATGCCAATAATTTTTCCATTTGAAATCAACAACCTATACTAACATCTACAACTCTTTTAAACCCAAATAAAGTATTTGAGACAGCATTGTACAATACGTTTTGAAATAAATTATTAAAAACAAAGCACCTATGTGGGGGTGTGTGTGTGCATATGCATGTACATGTACTTTTTTTGTTCTTTCCCTTTGGCCTTTTGGTGTTTATTCTTTATTTAGATTTTGTGTTCTTCCAGTCTATTTCTAGGCAAAATACCACAAAATTCTTGACTCTTAAATATTCACTTATAAAACTGTATGTATAATAATTGGAGAAAAAAGAACGTTAGATAACATGAATATACACTGCGAAAATAGGCTGACTTCTTTTAAACATTAAGACCACCATGCATTTTTAAAGGAAGATTTTCAGTTAGAGGTTTCAGGACTCTTGTCATTGTGATTTTATTTACACTGAGGGAGGAAGAGTTACATTTTAAAATACTATAATTATATTTTTCTGTTAAAACATATATTGCAATAAAGTTCACAAATCTATCAGTATGCAAAAGCAGCCGTTTTCATATTAATGTCTTACAAACTCACAAAGGTTTTTCAGTGATAGACATAAAAATAAATGTACCAAGTTTTTTTTTTCTTTTTTACTGAAGCCACATAAACGTAAGTACTGTAATAATGGAAAAATCAGACCCTTCACATTTACTTTTTTACAGCTCTGTCATCATTACAGCCTTTAGTCTTTGTTGCTGGCTAACTGTAGTTTCACTGTCATCTTAGGAATCAAGTACGAAAAAAAAATGATCAAATCAGGTTTTCCTGCAACATGATTATTGTTTCATATGTATTCACTCTCAGATAAAGTCAAGGTCCTCTATAAAACAAAGAATTGTGTTAAAGTGGGATAAACCCTTTGTGCAGAGGCCAGATGGAAAGAGATCTAGGCATGTGCAGCAAACTCCTCTGGGAATAGAGGAGCAAGCATGAAGGGCTATTTCTAAACAGTTCTGCACTGGGAGGCTGATCTCCAACTTACAATTCATGAATAAGGTGACTGTGGAGAATGATAACCAAGAGGCTATCTGTGACAATAAGCAAACAACCCATATTTGCTTTTAACATGATTGAAAATTCTATGAACATGAATGAGTGAAACATAATTTTAAAGGAAGGAAAATGGAGATAAAAGGTTCATGAAAAATATCTAAAAGTAAGAGGAAGAAAAAATAATAGAAAACAGCAATTTTGGAAAATTGTTAAATAATACATATTAACAGTTTGCTATTTAAACAATTATTTTCTTTATGTTAACTTTTTGTTAACATGTTTGCTTTTAAGACTATACAGGAAATAATTTAAACTTGGTCAGGTAGCATTATCCCAGAGATGAGCATATGTAATTTATAGAATTTTGAGATATTTATTCCAGAACATAGAGTGCTAAATGATGCTGGGACACAAAAATCAAAAAGAATGGAAGTGTTAATTGACATATTTAAAAATTACTGAGCCACTATATTACATATTATATTAAATATACATTTCCATTTTTCCAGGCTACTAGACGCAACAATAGAATTACCATATTGTTTTTCCTGGTTTGAAAGGACCAGATGGAAAGAAACTGGGCAAGCCAATGAAAGTCTCTGGGGATCATGGGAATTGAGTGTCTATGAAAACCATATTCCAGACAAGAATATAGTCTAAGGTAAATGTTCTCATAATCTCCATTCTTTAGAAAAGACAATATTTCTGTTCTGCATCTTCCTCTTTAGGTGGACTGTCAAAAATATCAATTGAATAATGACAAGCCATATTTATCTGCACTGATTGAAATTTAGTATCATTCTTCACTCCTCAATTTATAGAACTACTTATAATTAACTGATGAGCTGTCCCTGAGACAGTGCCATTTATAGTCATTACTGCACTCTAATTGGGGAGAAATGCTTTTAGAAAGTTCTAATTAGAGATTTTTTCTGTTGTTTTTCTTATAAATACATTCAAAAGAGGTATTGGAGAGTTTGTTTTGTTTTGGGAAGAGGCATGTGTGTAGCTCGATGTATTGTTTCTCTTTATACTTAAGTAAGTAATATGTAATAAAGCTTCTTTAAACTTTAAAGAGTAACAGGCTCACAGGAGGAAACAGAATAGTATCACGTTTTGCCCTTGTTCATCATAATTATCAGCATTATAATAGAGATGGGGGATTGAAGACTTTTGTTATTAATAAATTCTATTTCTACTTAAAGTTAAAGGTCCTCTTCATTTTCAGTTCCTTTATGTTTCTCTATGGAGAGTTCAGACTTTTAAAACCAGTATATTTACAATGTTTTTACAAGATAAATACACTTCACCCTTGAACAACACAGGTTTGAAATATGCAAATCCACTTCTATGTAGATTTTCTGCCACCTTGGCCACCCCCCTGAGACATCAAGAACAACTCTTTCTCTTCCTCCCCTTCTCAGCTTATTCAACCTGAAGATGATGAGGATGAAAACCTTTATGATGATCCTTCTCCACTTAATGAATAATAAATATATTTTCTCTTCTTCATGATTTTCTTAATAGCATTTTCTTTTCTCTGCCTTTATTGTAAAGATAAGTAATACATATACAAAATATATGTGAATCAGCTTTATGTTATCAGTAAGGCTTCTGGTCAACAGTAGACTATTAGTAGTTAAGTTTTTGGGGATTCAAATATTACACACAGATTTTCAACTGCACAGCAGCCAGGGAGGGCAACAGCACTCCTAACCCTGGCGTTGTTCAAGGGTCGACTGTATAGTAGTATACACATTGAGCATATTTCACTCATTAAAAATTCTGGTGAAAAATTATTCAAATGGCTCACTATAGATCATCTAGTGCAAACTTTGTAGCAATTTGAATGAAATCCAGGTCTCCTGACTCAGTCTCAAGTCCCATAACTTCAGAGTTGACAGGGCTCATCTTAGAGGAGAGAAACTCAACCAAAGAAACTTTTAACTGTGCCATCTTCAGTTAAATATAATTTAAACTTAATTTCCAGAATTAATGTTCAGCGTTGACCTTTCTTAGAAATAAAGCTAAGGAATAAAGTAAATAAACAGGGTTTTCCTGTTTACAAAAATGAGAGCAATTGTTTGCAATTAATGTAAAAAGCAAATTTAAAGATAGCTTAAGAAAGCTCAAGTTGACTAAAAAATGTGCGATTTTTAAAAACCTAAAACAACTCCTATAACATTTATTTATGGTTCAAAAAGTATAAAGTTAACTCAAAAATACTGTGTTATTTCATGGATTAAGTTAAAAGTGAGTGTTGCAAGACTCAGGAAACAAACCTCAGTTAGCTAAATAAAGTAAAACACTGCCATCTGCTGACTAGAATGAAAAATTAGTTGGTCTTTTACCATCTGTAACCAGCGAGAGGTCTGTTAATTTATTCCATAATTCTTTAAAGTATGCTAAAAAGCACTATGCTGGGTGATACAAAATTACTCAGTCTCCTAGATGGACACCTAGGACTATATCCTATGCTACTGTATTAGTTAGGGTTCTCCAGAGAGACCAAACCAATAAAATATAGATACAGATACAGGAGAGGGGATTTATTAGAATTGGCTTATGCAATTATGAAGGCTGAGAAGTCCCACAACAGGCCATCTGCAAGCTAGAGACCCTGGGGTGCCAGTAGCGTGGCTCATTCCAAGTATGTAGGCCTGAGAACCCAGAGGGGAGCTGGTGTGAGTCCTGGTATCCAAAGGCTGGAGAGCCTGGCATTCTCATGTCCAGGGGCAGAAGAGTGTATCCCGACTTCAGGACAGAGAGACCAATTCACTTTTCCTCTGTTTTGTTCTATCTGGGCCTCCAGCTGATTGGATGATGCCCACCCACATTGAGGGTGAATCTTCCCCACTTAGTCCACTGAGACTCACGCTCCAATTGCCTCTAGAAACACCCTTACAGACACACCCCAAAATTATGCTTTATCACTTCGCTATATATTCATTAATTCAGTCAGGTCAATACCTAAAATTAATCATCACAACTAGCATGTGGTGGTGGTTGTTATCATTATTCAAACAGGTAATTCTGACCATAATTAGTAATGCAGCAATAATAGGGCTTAAATGTAAATGAGGAAATAAAGTTATTATTTGGAAATTTTGAATATAGAAAAATTTTACATTAAAACTTACTTAAGGCTGGGTGCAGTGGCTCACACCTGTAATTCCAGCACTTTCAGAGGCCAAGGCACACAGATCACTTGAGGTCAGGAGTTTGAGACGAGCCTGGCCAACATGGTGAAAACCCGTCTCTACTAAAAATACAAAAATTAGCTGGGTGTGGTGACGGGCACCTGTAATTCCAGCTGAGGCTGAGGCAGGAGAATCACATGAACCTGGGAGGCGGAGGTTGCAGCGAGCCAAGCCGAGACTGCATCATTGCACTCCAGCCTGGGCCACGGAGTGAGACTCTGTCTAAAAAAAAAGGACATTTAAATTGTATAACTACAGTAAAAATAATTTGGAAAATAAAATAATGTAAAGTTTAAGTCATGACCTAATTACTTCACTCTGCAAATATTTGAGTGATTGCTGTGCCAGAAACTAGATTGCCTGCAAGAGATATAATAAAAACCTACTGTCCACCTTTATGGAGCTCACAGTCTAGAGAAAGATATCAACCAGGAATGATAATGTCTTAAGAACTATAACAAGATGGTACAGGAGTACCTCCTGCTGCTCCAGTGGGGCACACAAATTATTATCAACACATATAAATTACAGTCTAATAAGTATTTGCTCCTGTCCTCAATTACTATAAATAATCCTTGGGCTTATTCAAGAACTGTATTTTGAGCTTTCCATCTGAGTGGAGTTTTTGTTGTATTGCTTTACTCAGAAACCTCAAAAGGTTTATAACACTTCAATTTCTCCCGTTCCCTGCATCAAATCCATTACCAATGATTGCCAATTTTACTTCCAAATAACTCTCAAACATGAACACCTCTTCCCATTTTCTCTGGCACTACCCTAGTCTCATATTTTCAACTGAGATAACCTTTTATCTAGTCTACCCACAGTCACTTGAATCTCTTCCAATCCATTGTTTCCATTTACAGATTTTCAGTGGTTCTTAGGACCTGGCATAGTTGGCCAACCATCCACCTCTCGAATGTCGACATGATCCATAATTTAATGCACTTCCTCTACTGCTATTACCCTGGCATGTTCAGTCCCTTCTCCTTGACATGCTCCCTTCGCCACATGGCCTTTGCACAATCGATTACCTGCCTCTATTCTTCATCTACTTTAACGATGTCTTCACTGAACTAAGTCACAAATCCCACCATTAAATTTTTCATAGAACCACTCAATTTTCCTTCATAGCACTAATCACAGATGCAGTTTTATAGTTTTTTATGTTATGTGGTTTATGCCTATAAATTCAGTGAGGACAATGACTGTGTTTTGGCTCTTTATTGGTCCAGTTTTGGTACTACCATTTTACATTATAAAATTATTCCACATCATGGTAGAGAAGTTTTGAATCAAGCAATTGACACCTATCATAACTTAACAAAGTACACACATTTAAGGAATGAATAAAATATGCTGGATTATTGATGATTCCAAACACATTTAATTTATATTTTTTTCCTGTTTATTTCATGTGTTATGACAAGACTAGAAAACATGTTTGTTTCCTTTAACACTGGCTACTGGACCCTGCTCTCCTAATCAGAATGTGTGCTAATTTGAGGGCACTCTATCCTCAAGGCAATGTCATATTTGAGGAGCAACTGTGAATGAAGTCAAACATTGACCTAGTTTTTTTTGAGATCTTCTCTATCACTGCAATATTTTGTGTTTCCTCTTTTGCTCTTCCTTATCTCTTGACATTTCTGCCACCATTATATAATCTTTAAAAATCAAGTTCCTTTTTTGCTGTTGTGCTTTTGAAACTTCCAGATAATGGGATGGGGTAGAGGGACACAATAACAAACAAAATAACCAAGCACAAAACCTACAGTTACTTTATTTAAAAATTTTCCTCAATAGCTTGTGTTTCTAGATAAAACCAGTCACAAACAAATAGAGTTATATTTACTTGGCTTATCACGAAATTAAATCATTCTGAATTCATAGTGAGACTCTATAAAATCAATTATATTATGTATATAATATCACTCATTTTCCTTAAAAAATTTTTTTTTAAGTAGAGACAAGATTTCGCCATGTTGTCCAGACTAGTCTGTAACTCCTGGGCTCAAGCGATCCTCCTGCCTGGACCTCCCAAAGTGCTGAGATTACAGGCATAGGCCACCACTCCCAGCCTCATTTTAAAAAAAATAAATCCAAGTTTAATTTAACGACATACTATGATGGTTAATTTTATGTGTCAGCTTACCTGGGCCATGAAATATCCAAATATTTGGTTAAACATCATTCTGGGTGTGTCTTTGAGGATGTTTCTGGATGAGATTGACATCTGACTCAGCAGACCAAGTAAAGCAGATTGCCTTCCCCAATGTAAGTGGACCTCATCCAATCTGTCCAAGGCCCAAATGGAGCTAAAAACGTGGAGTAAGGGAGAATTTACTCTCTGCCTGACTGTCTTTGACTTGGAACATCAGTCTTATCCTGCTTTCATACTTGGACTCAGACTGGAACTATATCATCAACTGCCCTGGGTCTCCTGCTTGCCAACTGCAGATCTTGGGATTTCTAAGCCTCCATAACCACCTAAGCCAATTCATTATGATAAATCTATGTATCTATGTATTATCTATATATCTATCTATCATCTATCTATGTATTATCAATCATCTATCGATCTATCTATTCTCTATCTATCTATCTATCTATCATCTATCTAATATTCTATTTCTCTGGAGAACCCAGACTAATGCACATACCATGACATTAAATACTAACTATAATTGCATGGATTTTACACAATTTAAAGATAGCTATGTTGATTAATTTTGGTTTTAAATTCCAAGTTATGCCGGGTGTGGTGGCTCACACCTGTAATCCCAACACTTTGGGAGGCCGAGGCGGGCGGATCACGAGGTCAGGAGTTCGAGACTAGCCTGACAAACATCATGAAACCCTGTCTCTACTAAAAATACAAAAATTACCTGGGCGTGGTGGTGGGTGCCTGTAATCCCAGCTACTCAGGAGGCTGAGGCAGGAGAATCGCTTGAACCCGGGAGGTGGAGGTTGCAGTGAGTGGAAATTGCATCACTGAACTCCAGCCTGGGTGACAGAGTGAGACTCCGTCTCAAAAAAAAAAAAAATTCCAAGTGATTTTATCTTGTATATCCCTCTGCCGATTTACAAAATAAGAATGAATATGTAAGTACACACAGACACATACATGCACACACACAAACACGATTCTTGGTCCTTTAAATACTTCCAAGTCTCTTCATTGTTCAGATGCGGGGAAAATCTCCCAATCTCCATTTTTTTTTCTCTGAAGTTTTTAAAGAGTGCTCAATTTATACTTCATTTCTCCACTTAAATCTCTAATACTCATTCTTCAGTTACCTGTTACTGGCTTTCAACTTTACTACTCTGTTGAAACTGCTCTTACCAAAGTCATCAGTGTTCTCCTAATTCAACATAAAGTAATATCTTCCATCTTATACTAGAAGTTCTCTGTCCTTATTTTGGCAATTATGATCCTCTTTTCCCTGATACTCTCTAGTCCCTTCTTCCTGGTTCCTCTCAAATTCTCTACCTGCCCCTTACAGATAGTGCTCTAAGGTGACACCTTCATTCTATCACTCCTTTCAGTAATTCTAATGAATTCAGTTCTTTACACTGATTACATAAATTAATATCTCCAACCCAGACCTTTCCCAACACTTTCAGTCTCATATCCAGTTGCCTACTGGATACTTTATATTCAACTCTCTAAAATTACAATTATCATCTTCCCTAAACTGATTCTTATTCCTATTTCCTCCATCTCAGATATAATAGTCTTCATTTAACCTTCTTTCTTATGAATGGATATACCAGCATAAAGAGCAATGTCTGGAACACATGCAGGTATAATAAATTGCATTATTGTTTACTAATATTTGCTGCCCACTTGTAAAAGATAGTTGTACTTCCATGCCTATTGACATAGCTTGACTTTGCAACTTACTAAATACTAGTGTAAATGACTGCATTACTTCCCAGCAGATACTTAAGAGCCAGGATATCATCTGCCATGCTTTTTTTGCCCTATGCCAGACAGCCAGCAGTATTCTAGATGCTCAGCTTGGGTGCTTGTATGAAGGTGATGTGGTACAGAGCTGCAGCCTACCTGCAGGGAAATAGTAGCATGACTGAAAATAAAGCTTTGAAGTTGTAATGACTGAAATTTGGGGATCATTTGTCAATACATCCAAAAGCCTATACTGACTGATCTGAGGCTGGAAAAGTTTTAACCACAGAATTGTATTTTCATCTATATATAGTCATGATAGGTAAAGGTCAACAGAAAGACGGTCTCAAATATGCAAAGGCTATGAGACAACCTTTATATAATTTTTTAAATGCCTTAAATATTTCTCCAAAAAGTGAAATATGAAGCAAAATTAAGAGATAGTGAAAATTAAGGGTTTGAAATGACAAACTGCAAGCACTGAAACTTGGTTAAAAAAAAAAGAAATAATACACAGGAAAGAAAGAAAAAAGGAATAAATACATATAACACAGAAAAAAAAAGAAAAAGAGAGCTGAAAAATGGCTGTAAATTTGCTTGTAAACTAAATACAACCATCATATAAAAATCGAATAAGGAAATACATATAATATTAATATAGTAACACTTTGGATCTAGATTCCATGTTATATTAGCAAAGACTAAAAAGTTGGAAAGGGAAAAAAGTTAACTAAATTTGGCCAGGCATGGTGGCTTGCTCCTGTAATCCCAGCATTTTGGGAGGCAGAGGCAGGTAGATTGCTTGAGCCTAAGAGTTTGAGACAACATGGTGAGGCAACATGGTGAAACCCCATATCTATCTATAAAAAAAAAATTAGCTTTGTATGGTGGTGTATGCCTGTAGTCCCAGTTACTTGGGATACTGATGTGAAATTTACAAAATTCAAAAATTCATTATATTAAATAGGGAGAATTCAAAATATAATATTTTACTTTCAATTCTGACTATTATAGAAGTAGAGGTTAAATAATGATGTTAAAATTCTTAAAGATAGTTTATAGAGGCTTTTAAAGATGGCAAGATAAAAATATTTTAAAAAATTTGATCCTCCCCCTTGAAACTTACCAATAATGAAAAAATAAAAAATAATAATGTAGGAAAAACAACCAACCAAACAACCAACTTCATCTTCAATGAAACAAGGAAATGATACAATCCTAAGTTACAAAAAAGGAAGCAGCAATAAAGTAAAATGAGGAAAGAGGCTGATTGCCAAGAACCAAAGCATGCCTTCTCTAATCTTGAGCAGAACAAAGATTTCTCTCAAAGGAAGAGAAACAATCCTGAAAGACTGTGACTAGAGTAGCAAAATCTGAACCTGGGGGAGCCTCAGAAGTGGAATGTCTACTTTAAAGGAGAGGTGGAACTAAAGAAGAAACCAGGCTGGCATGTCAGTGTTACAGCCTTCAGCCTATTCTCTGAGCCAAGGAGATTGCTAGAAGTAAAGTGGAGTAAGGAAAGGAAGAGAAGAACCAGAAATCTCGTGTCACTCTTCACTCCTATGCAGATTTTTTTTGTCAATAACTCATTGACAAGCACCATGTCTCTGGGCAAATACTGGTGATAAGAAGGCAAGGAAAATAACTAGTTAGCTGTTACAGTTTCTGTGTTAGAGATAGGCAAGGGAAAAGGATGAGTGAATCTGTAATTTCTATTACTACAAAAAAAAAAAAGAATCAAGACAGAAAGTGAGAATATATTTTAAAAGGAAAAAACACAAATAAACTGCAGAAGAAGAGCATACAATGTAAGGTAAATTACTTACTAAATATTCCAAGAGTTAAAATAAATACTTCCTTGTAATCTCTGTAGTGTGTTGAACAGTGTCTCTTTCTAATTATGTTTACCCAGAACCTTAGAATGTAATCTTTATTGGAAATAATTCTTTGAAAATGCAATTAGGAAGGTGTGATCCTACTGTATTAAGGTGGGCCCTAAATCCAGTGACTGGCATCCTATGAGAAGAGGAGAGGACCTATGGAGACATACATAGGAAAAAAGGCCATGTCACAGTGGAGGCAAAGATTGGGGTGATGCAGCTACAAACCACAGAACACCAAGGATTTCTAAGAGCTGCCAGAAGCTTAGGAAAAGGCAAGGAAGTTTTCTTCCCTACAGCTTTCATGGGGAGCATAGCCATGACAACACCTTAATTTCAGAATTCTAGCCCTGAGAATTGTAAATCAATAAATTTCTGTTGTTTTAAGTCAGCCACTTTGTTATGGCAGCCCTAGGAAACTAACACAGTCTTCAAGAAATTACATACAACGTCACTGTGGTGGGCAGACTCTAAGATCACCCCCCATAACCCTTGCCTCCTGGTGCTCAGACCCTTGCATCCTCTCCTTGACTGTAAGACCTATGATTTCTTTCTAACCAATAGAATACAGTGCAAATAGGAGATGATGATGATTTTGTGCATGTGATTACATCACGTAAGATTGTAGCCTATCGTGTTAGGAGACCCTGGCTGGCTTTGAAGAAGCAGGCTACCATATTCCCAGATGTCATAGGAAGAGAGCCACCGGACAAGGAGCTGAGTGTGGCCTCTGGCCAATAACCAGCAAGAAATTGAGCCCTCGGTGTAGTAGTCTGCCAGGAACTGAATTCTGCAACGATGTTGAGTTTGCAAGCAGATCCTTCAGTTGAGCCTCAGATGAGACTGCAACCCCAACTATCACCTTGATTGCAGCCTTGTGAGACCTTCAAAGCAGAAGACCAAGCTAAGTGATGCTCAAACTCCAGATCCACAGAAATTGTGAGATAACAAATGTGTATAGTCCTAAACCACTACGTTAGTGATGATATTGTTATGGAACGATAGAGAACTAGTACAATGTCCTTTCTAGAAGAAGACCTCTAACAAGAGAATGAAGAGTTCAATAAAAATGTAAGGCATCCGAAGAGGAAAATGTGGAGATAAAAGAGCTCAGAAAATTAATGGAAGAGCTGAAAAATGGTAGGAGAATTAATAGAAGAACACATGATTGAATACACAATCTAAAGAAATCACACAATACACAATAAAAAAGAGTGATATAAAAATCATGTTTAATATGGGGAAAAAGATATGCATGCCTTTCATATAGGCGTAATGAAATAAAATAGATTTGAGGAAGAGGTAGAAATTAAGAAAGAAAATAAAGCAAACAAAAATAAATAGTAAAAAAAAAAAAAAAAAAAAGGACAAAATACATTCTGGAATTGAAGACCAGATTTGCAGATTTAAAGAGCAAACTCCGTCTAAGAGAAAAAGTGATTCAGAATCATGTTCCCCAAAACATATCCTGGTGCAATTTGGAATTTTAGGAATAAAAACAGAGTTTTATGAAAATTTTATGTAGAAAAGCAAGTAGCATTCCATTAAAAAAGAATCAGGTTTTCCTTGGAGTTTTCCATAGTAATAGTTTAATGCTAGAGAACAGAAAGAGTGTCTACAACATTCTGAGGGAAATAAAATGTGACTTTAAAATTTATCTGTAGACAAGTTATCCTTCAACTATAAAAACCAAAACACATATTCTCAAGGGTAGAGAAATTGAGGGGATACATTGCGTGTAAGTGCTACTTTAAAAAAAGCGTGTCAATGGAATTCAATTAAATAAGAGATGTGTAGAAACAAAATACAAGAATAAAGAAACTGTGGAAAAAGAATGATAATGAATACAATCCCTTTAAGTATAAAACCACAACTAAAACATGTCAAGAATTTTGATTGTAAAATAAAATGTAAATGTTATTAATCTTGACATTATGAACTTAATAAGTAATACAAATCTGGGAGAGATTGGTGGAAGAAACTATAAGTGCACAAACCTCCCAGTTTCCCATAGCCAAAACAAGAGGTTAGTAGAAGAAACTGTTAATATACAACTCTCCCAGTCTTCCACAGTCAAAAGGCTGTGGGTATAGCATAATTTACACATGCAGTCTAAAAAAGTCACAACTCTAACCTCTTAATGTTTATCTTATCTATAGAGGAAAGTTTCAGAAACTTATTTTTTGTGGTAAAGAAAAATTTACTTCAAGTACACCAATTCTTTCAGATTTACTTCAATTTCTTCTTTCATTAAATTAGATTTTAAGTAAACATAATTAAATTAGCTGGGTGTGGTGGTGCATGCCTGTAATCCCAGCTACTTGGGAGGCTGAGGCAGGAGAATTGCTTGAACCCAGGAGATGGAGGTTGCGGTGAGCCGAGATCACACCATCGCACTCCAGCCTGGGTGACAGAGCGAGACTCCATTAAAAAAAAAAAAGTGAACATAATAAAAAGAATAAAAATAAAATAAAAATCCTTCAATCCCATTTTTTTTTATTGTACTTTAAGTTCTAGGGTACATGTGCACAACATGCAGGTTTCTTACATATGTATACATGCGCCATGTTAGTGTGCTGCACCCATTAACTCGTCATTTACATTAGGTATATCCCCTAATGCTATCCCTCTCCCCTCCCCCCACCCATGACAGGCCCCAGTGTGTGATGTTCCCCTTCCTGTGTCCAAGTGTTCTCATTGTTGAATTCCCACCTATGAGTGAGAACATGCGGTGTTTGGTTGTTTGTCCTTGCGATAGTTTGCTGAGAATGATGGTTTCCAGCTTCATCCATGTCCCTGCGAAGGACATGAACTCACCCTTTTTTATGGCTACACAGTATTCCATGGTATATATGTGCCACATTTTCTTAATCCAGTCTATCACTGATGGACATTTGGGTTGGCTCCAAGTCTTTGCTATTGTGAATAGTGCCGCAATAAACATATGTGTGCATGTGTCTTTATAGCAGCATGATTTATAATCCTTGTAATGAGATGGCTGGGTCAAATGGTATTTCTAGTTCTAGATCCTTGGGGAATCGCCACACTGTCTTCCACAGTGGTTGAACTAGTTTGCAGTCCCACCAACGGTGTAAAAGTGTTCCTATTTCTCCACATCCTCTCCAGCACCTGTTGTTTCCTGACTTTTTAATGATCACCATTCTAACTGGTGTGAGATGGTATCTCATTGTGGTTTTCATTTGCATTTCTCTGATGGCCAGTGATGATGAGCATTTTTTTCCATATGTCTTTTGGCTGCATAAATGTCTTCTTTTGAGAAGTGTCTGTTCATATCCTTTGCCCACTTTTTGATGGGGTTGTTTGTTTTTTTCTTGTAAATTTGTTTGAGTTCTTTGTAGATTCTGGATATTAGCCTTTGTCAGATAAGCAGATTGCAAAAATTTTCTCCCATTCTGTAGGTTGCCTGTTCACTCTGATGGTAGTTTCTTTTGCTATGCAGAAGCTCTTTAGCTTAATTAGATCCCATTTGTCAATTTTGTCTTTTGTTGCCATTGCTTTTGGTGTTTTAGACATGAAGTCCTTGTCCATGCCTATGTCCTGAATGGAATTGCCTAAGTTTTCTTCTAGGGTTTTTATGGTTTTAGGTCTAACGTTTAAGTCTTTAATCCATCTTGAATTAGTTTTAGTATAAGGTGTAAGGAAGGGATCCAGTTTCAGCTTTCTACATATGGCTAGCCAGTTTTCCCAGCACCATTTATTAAATAGGGAATCCTTTCCCCATTTCTTGTTTTTGTCAGGTTTCTCAAAGATCAGATGGTTGT